>NC_000010.11:84234004-84385519 GCF_000001405.40 Homo sapiens | reverse complement strand
ATAGGGTGTCCTTTCCCCGTAGTTTATTTTTGTTGGTTCTGTCGAAGTTCAGTCAGATGTATGCATGTGGCTTTACTTCTTGGTTCTCTATTCTGTTCCATTAATCAATGTGTCTACTTTTATATCAGTACCATGCTGTTTTGGTTACTACAGCTTTGTAGTATAGTTTGAAGTCAGGTAATGTGATGCCTCTGGCTTTGTTCTGTTTGCTTAGGATTGTTTTGGCTGTTTGGGGTGTTTTTTTGGTTCCACTTGAATTTTAGGATTGTTTTTTCTAATTCTGTGAAAAGTGATGTTGGTAATATGATGGGAATTGCCTTGAATCTGTAGATTACTTTGAGCAGTATGGTCATTTTAATGATATTCTTCTAATCCATAAGAATGAAATGTTTCAATTTGTTTGTATCATTTATGATTTCTTTCATCAATGTTTTGTACTTCTCCTTGTAAAGGTCTTTCACCTCCTTGGTTAAATGTATTCCTGGGTGTGTGTGTGTGTGTGTGTGTGTGTGTGTTTATTGTAAATTGATTTCAGCTCTCAATTTGGTTCTGTTTGAGCACTGATGGTGTATGGATATACCAATTTTTGTATATTAATTTTGTATCCTGAAACTTTACTGAAGTTATCAATTCTAAAAGTCTTTTGGAGGAATCTTTAGGGTTTTCTAAGCATAAGATCATATCAACAACAAACAGATAATTTTACTTCCTCTTTTATAATTTGGATGGCTTTTACTTCTTTCTCTTGCCTGTTTGCTCTGGCTAGGACTATGCTGATAGGAGTGATGGGAGTGGATATCCTCGTCTTGTTCCAGCTCTTAGGGGAAATGCTTTCAACTTTTGCCTATTCAGTATGATGTTGGCTACAGGTTTATCATATAGGGTTCTTATTATTTTCAGGTATGTTCCTTTGATGCCTAGTTTGCTGAGGGTTTTTATCATGAAGGGATGCTGTATTTTATCAAATGCTTTTTCTTCATCTATTGAGATGATCATATGGATTTTGTTTTCTGTTTATGTGGTGGGTCACATTTATTGATGTGTGTATGCTGAAACATCTTTGCATTCCTAAAATAAAACCCACTTGATCATGATGAGTTATCTTTTTGAGTTGCTGTTTGATTTGGTTTGCCAGTATTCTGTTGAAGACTTTTGCATGTGTGTTCATCAAGGATACTGGCCAGTAGTTTTTTTCTTTTGTTGTGTCCATGCCAGATTTGGGTACCAGGATGATATTGGTTTCATACAATGAGTTAAGAAGGAATTCCTCCGCCTCCTCCATGTTTTGGAATAGTTTCAGTAAGATTGATGCCAGCTCTCTTGCATGCCTAGTAAAATTCGACTGTGAATCTGTCCAGTCCTGGGCTTTTTTTAGTTGGTAGTTTTTTTAATGACTAATTCAATTTCATTATTCATTATTTTTATTTCTTACTGGATCAATCTTGGGATGTTATGTTTGCAGGAATTTATCCACTTCCTCTAGGTTTTCTAGTTTGTGCACATAGAGATGTTCATAGCAGTCTCTGATGATCCTTTGTATTTCCATGGCATCAGTTGTAAAATCACCTTTATCACTTCTGATCATGCTTATTTGAATCTTTCCTCTTTTTTTCTTGGCTAATCTAGCTGGCAGCCTGTCAATTTTGTTTATCCTTACAAAGAACCAAGTTTTCATTTCATTGATCATTTTTATGATTTTTTAATTTCAATTTCATTTAGTTCTGCTCTGATCTTTGTTATTCAGATACAGATTTAAAGCAACAACAATATGATCTCACCAGA
Organism: Homo sapiens; assembly: GCF_000001405.40. Taxonomy (NCBI): domain Eukaryota; kingdom Metazoa; phylum Chordata; class Mammalia; order Primates; family Hominidae; genus Homo; species Homo sapiens. Next base: position 84,383,737 of record NC_000010.11, on the reverse strand, counting down.
GTTTAATGAAAACAGTTTGACAGTAGTATAATATTGTTAAATAAAGTGAAAAACTAGCAAAATGTAGAGAAGGTGCAACCACCTGAGATAGTATATGTGAATACACATTAGAAAGAATAAAGCACCTCAGCCGGGTACGGTGGCTCACGCTTGTAATCCCAGCACTTTGGGAGGCTGAGGTGGGTAGATCATGAGGTCAGGAGATCGAGACCATCCTGGCTAACATGGTGAAACCCCGTCTCTACTAAAAATACAAAAAATCAGCCAGGTATGGTGGCGGGCACCTGTAGTCCCAGCTACTTGGGAGGCTGAGGCAGGAGAGTGGCGTGAACTCAGGAGGTGGAGTTTGCAGTGAGCCGAGATCACACCACTGCACTCCAGCCTGGGAGACAGAGGGAGACGCCATCTCAAAATAAAAATAAATAAATAAATAAAAAGATCAAAGCATCTCTGGTCTCTTCCTTAGAGTTAAATAACCCAAGCGAAGTAAAATGTCACAGATACAAAATTAGAGAGCAATTAAAAACTTCCTAAATTCATTCTAAAACTCAAAACCAAGTAAGGCAAATATAAACCAGGTTTGATATTTTTATATTCTTCTTCCATATTTTTGGACTAGAGAAATTCCAAATTTCAGTGCAAATAATCTAGGGAACTCATATACCCACGCAAACACTGCTAAGAATATTATGACATTCAGCAGACATTTAAATCTCAATAAAGTCTAGCTGTATCAGTCACAAGGTAGAAACCCAAATCTAGCCAGCTCTCCTCTTAGTAAAACACAGATTAAAAAATGTAAATAAAATGTGTTAGCCTCATGAAAATGAAGGCATACCTACTTGTTGGTGTGTCAAAAGCATACAAGTAAGTTTTTGGATCTACCTTTTAAAGTGAACAAGAATCTCATTTAAATAAGGAGTTAAACTTCCCCACTATGTGAAGATAAGGCAAGGCTGATAAAACAAAAATAAAGCCAGATACTTTCAGTGATGATCTGATTCAAACACTTCTTTGGGCCTCCTATAAAAATCATTCCAAAAATAAAGGCACTCCATGTGATGATTTAAAATTATCACCTCCTAAATATTTCAGTGTTAGAAAATCAATCATCATGACATTGTAGTTCAACTATTCTTCAATGAGAGCTCTTGTATTGTCCTAGCATTGCTGCAAAGAAGATTCTGAGTATGGCTCACTGTGTTTACAAGAGAAAAAAATGTTTTTGCCTAAGATTGTGCACATACAATGATTATAATATTTATCAGAAAAAATGCTATATTTAATCAAGAAAGTTAAATATCAGTTAAAAGTTTATTGAGTTCAAAAATTCTGAGACTGAGAGTGTAACAAGTAGTAAACTACTTCCTAACCTATTAGTGCCAATTTACTCAACTCCTCTAGAATTCATCCTAGTCTGAAACCAAAGGTAGTAGGTAGTCCATAGCTATTTCAAAGGACTAATATAAAAGATGAGGAACAAAAAAAGATGCTATCATGAAGTAAAGAAAGATAACTTCATATCAGTACCTGTGTCAGGAGTCCCCAAGCCCACTCCCAAAATAGAAAATTCACTAAAAGGAGTCAAAGGATTCAGCATACAGTAATATTAACAACTAAGATTTATTCCAGCAGGATACAAAGCAAAATAAGAAAGGAAAAGTCACATGGGGCAAAATCAGGTGAAAGCTTCCAAGAGTCCTCTCCCAATGGAGTTACACAGGATGTGCTTAATACCTCCAGCAACCAGTTGTGACAATACATGCAAAGAGTGCAAAGTCTTGTCCACGACGGATGTTCTTTTTTTTTTTTTTTTTTTTGAGAAAGCCTTGCTCTGTCACCCAGGCTGGAGTGTGGCATGATCTGGGCTCACTGCAACCTCTGCCGCCCGGGTTCAAGCAATTCTCCTAGCCTCCCGAGTAGCTGGGACTACAGGCACGTGCCACCACACTCGGCTTATTTTTGTATTTTTAGTAGAGACGGGATTTCACTGTATTGGTCAGGCTGGTCTTGAACTCCTGACCTCAGGTGATCCACCTGCCTCAGCCTCCCAAAGTGCTGGGATTACAGGCATGAGCCACCGCGCCCGGCCCACCGTGGATGTTCTTAAGAAACTCAGCTCCCAAGGTTTCACTGGGGGATGGTCTTGTGGGTACCCTCTGCCTCGCATGTATCAAAATTCTAGACTCCCAAAAGGAAAGCAGGTAGTCAGCATAAATCACATTATCTGTGCAAACAGTTTAGGCACAGCAAGCCTACTGTGCTCTTATCATTTATGAAAAGTTTTATAGCACTCTAAGGAACTGTTTACCAGCCAAGTGCCAACCTTTCAAGCGGGTTATCTAAGAAGAGGCAATCTTAGACCTGCGACATTAACTCTTTTCTGCATAGCACCCCAAGCATATTGTGGAAGAATATTAATGAGTGTAAATTATTGTGCCTAATACCAACTTCGGATGAAGTCTTAAATGTAAAACAAAACAATTAGAAAGCAAAATAACAAACATCTGCTGAGCTCTTGTTATATCCCTGGCATTAATAAGTACTTTATATATATGACCTCATTTAATGTTCATAGTAATCCCATGAGTTAGTGAGAGATGATACTCAAAATACACAACAACCAGTATCACCAGGGAATCACATGACTGTCATACCATTCAGGCATGTACTTCCTAACATCAGCCCTGGAGGTGCGTACAATTACCATCTATATTTTTTAAAAAGGAACACAGAGAGGCTGGGCATGGTGGCTCACGCCCTGGGATTACTCCCAGCACTTTGGGAGGCCGAGGTGGGCAGATCACGAGGTCAGGAGATCGAGACCATCCTGGCTAACACGGTGAAACCCCATCTCTACTAAAAATACAAAAAAATTAGCCTGGCGTGGTGGCAGGCACCTGTAGTCCCAGCTACTTGGGAGGCTGAGACAGGAGAATGGCGTGAACCCAGGAAGGCGGAGCTTACAGTAAGTCGAGATTGCGCCACTGCACTCCAGCCTGGGCGACACAGCTACACTCTGTCTCAAAAAAAAAAAAAAAAAGAAAAGGAACACAGAGAATCCAAGGAGACACAGCTAGTACATGACAGAGGTGAAGTTTTAACTTAGCTTGTTCCGGAGCCCTGGCTCTTAATCATTATGCAATAACATCTCTCTGTAAACAAAATACCTCTATGGCCTTAGGATGGGAATGGGTGTCTTACACACACACGCCATATATGAGCATGTGAAGCAAAAACAATGAAGTAAAACATTACTAGATTTAATTGTCAAAAGCAAAAACTATGAACGGTAAAAAGATACAAAAAACAAAACAGAAGCAACAGGCTCAGAGAAGATTACTGCAACACATTTAACAAGAATTAAATTCCAACCACATAAAAAACTCTTCCATATCAATAAGAAAAATGGCAAAACCCAACTGAAAAATCACTGAAGTAAAAATTTACATAAAAGGAAACAAAACTGCCAGTAAAATGTGTGAAAAAAATGACAAAATCAATAATAGTATAAATGTAAATTAAAATTATGTATCATCTCACACTCACCAGACTGATTAAAATGTTGAAGTCAGATGACGACATATGGGGTTCAGATGATAAGTGACAGAAATTCTCATCCTCTACTGGAAGGTATACACTGGTAGGACCATTTTAGGGAGAAGTTTGATAATATCATTAAAGTTGAAAATACACTATTCCTAGTTTTATATCCTAGGAACGCTATAGCTAGGTTTATATCCTAAAGAAACTGACTTATATGATCAAAGAGAATTGAATCCGAATGTTCACTGCTACACCATGTAGACATTATTATTAGCAATAAAGAATAACTGAAATGTAGATTAGCAGGGGAACAGAGAAAAATACAGGTATATTCAAATGACAGAATATTATAAAGTAATAAATATGAATTAGAACTACAATACAAATACACATATACACAAAAAACATAAAATTGAGTTAAAAAAGAAACCTGTAGAATATTACATATCACTTACCTAAGTTGTAAAATACGTACAAAATCATACTGTATATTGTTCATGGATATATAAATGCATTAAGGATAATGGCCTATACAACATGCCTTAGAATTCACAATTTTAAAACAACGCACATAAAAAGAACTAACTGCTATATTTACTACTAGGGTGTTTACTGAATGCATTCTTTCCCAAATAATAAAGGCTTCTCTTTATGAGAATTCATTCATATGCCAGAGAAGGGAGAAAGGCTAAAAATCAATTATCTAGTTTCCATGTCAAAAACTTTGGAAAAGAAAAAACAAATTAAACTAAAGAAAAGTAGAAGAAAGGAAATAAAGATATAAACCAAAATCAATAAAAACAGAAAATAAGCACAATATAGAAAAATCAGCAAAGCCCAAATTTGGTTCTTGGAAATGAAGAAAAAGAGAGGAAACACCAATAACCAGTATTAGGAATGAAAAGCAGACGTCCCTATAAGATGTTAAAAAGAGGATAATCCTAAACAACTTTCACCAACAAATGACAAGTTTAGATGAAATGGACAAATTTTCAAAAACCAACACGAATATACATACAAATTTTAATATGCCAATATCTAAAAATTAAAACTGTTATTAAAAACCTTCTCATAAAGAAAACTCCAGGTCCAGAAGGCTGAATTCTGGCAAATTCTTTTACATACCTAAGGAATAAGCACATTAGTTGTACACAAATTCTTTCAAAGGACAGAAAAATAAGAAACACTTCTCAACTCATTATAAAGCCAGCATGATCTTGATACCAAAACATGGCAAGAACAAGTAGAAAAACAAGAAAATTACAGAGTAGAACAATCTTACTCATGAACATACATGCAAAAACATAGACTATTAGCAGAGCTGGGTATAGTGGCATGCACCTGTAGTCCCAGCTACTTGGGAGACTGTGGGAGGAGGATTACTTCAGCCCAGGAGTTCAAGGCCAGACTGGACAAAAAGAGACAGACCCTATCTCTTTTCTAAAAATTAATTTTTAGGCCGGGCGCGGTGGCACATGCCTGTAATCCCACTATTTTGGGAGGCCAAGGCGGGTGGATCACCTGAGGTCAGGAGTTCGAGACCAGCCTGGCCAACATGGTGAAACCCTGTCTCTACTAAAAATACAAAATTTAGCCAGGCGTGATGGCAGGCGCCTGTAATCCCAGCTACTCGGGAGGCTGAGGCAGAAGAAACGCTTGAACCTGGGAGGCAGAGGTTGCAGTGAGCCAAGATTGCGCCATCGCACTCCAGCCTGGGTGAGAAGAGCGAGACTTCGTCTCAAAAAAAAAAAAAAAAAAATTTAATTTTAAAAAATAATTTTAAAATATAAAAATTAGAAAATCTAGTTTAACAACATTTGAAAAGATAATACATCACGACCAAGTGAATGTATTCTAAGAATGGAAAGGTAGTTTACTATTTGAAAATCAAGCCATGCAATCTACCACACTAACACAAAAAAAACTTCATTATCTCAACAGACGTAGAGAAAGCATTTGGTAAAACTTAATATTCATTCACAACAAAAATTCAGCAAACAAAATAAAAGAGAATTTCCATACTCTGATTAAACTCCCTCTCAACTCCCAAAAACTTTAATGGTGAACTATTAAGGCTTTCTCTCTGAAATTCTATCACCATTTCAATTCAACATCACGTTGGTGGTCCTAACTTGTGTAATAGGGCAAGCGCTGGGGTGGTGAGGCAACTTTTTTGCAAATGGTATGATTATAGAATGTATATACAAGTTCCAAAATCATCCAAAGGCAAATTATTATAACTAGTAGATGAATTTACAAGGTTATTAGAAAAGTCCAATATACATGATAAAAATCAGGTATATTTGTATATACAACAAAAACTCATAAAATTATAAAAATGGTACCACTTACAGTGTCAAAATCAAACATGCATAACATTTTATAGAAAAGTACAAAACATTAGCAAGAAGTATTTCTAAAGTCTGAAATTAATGGAGGACTATATCTCCATCATAAATATGTCAATTCTCTCCAAAATCATCTATAAATTCAATGCAATCCCATTCAAAATCCCTGCAGGTCCTTCCTGGAAACGGACAAGCTCATTCTAATATTTAATTGGAAATACAAAAGGTTAAGAAGTGCTACAGAAATCTTGGAAAAGAACAAAGCTGGAAGACTTACCCTACCAGGCAGCAAAATTTATTTTAAAGCTACGATAATGAAAATAACATATAACTGACAAAATAAACAGAAATATTTGTCTATGCAATGAAATATTTATATATGCAGTCACTGATTTATGACAAAGATGACCCTGAAGTACAGTGGGGGAAAGATGACTAAAATAAATTAATCGTGACATCTATCTCACACCATACAGAAAAATAATTTCCAGATGGGGACTAGAGACCTACAGGTAAAAGGTTAAAAATAAATAATGCTTTTAGAGCAAAACATTGAAACATATATTCATGATATTAAGGTGGGAAAAGACTTCACAAACAGTTTTTTAAAAAGTGGTAACGGTAAAGGGAAAACTTGTAAAACTGGACAATATCAAAATTGGTAAGTTCTATATCAACAGACACTAAGAGATTTCAAAAGCAACTCACAGTAAAGAATACACTCTACATATATAAAATGTAAATATACACATGAATACAAACATCTACATATTGATATAAAATAAATATTTATGTCAAAAAATATGAAGAATTTTTACAAATCATTAAGAAAACAAACCCAACACAAGACACTTCACAGAAGAGGATATATCCTAATGGCCCAATAAACATATGTGAAGGTGCTCTGTGAGTAGTTATCAAAAAATACAAGACAAAATCTCAATGCAATACTACTATACCCACAAAATAGCAAAAATGCAAAAAGGCAGAAAGCACCAAGAATAGACAAGAAGGTGAATTTTCCGGAATGTTCATTTACTGCCAGTGGGGAGTGTAAACAGGCACAATCACTTTGAAACACTGACAGCATCTTTATCCATCAGCATAGCCTATAACCCAGGAATCTCTCTCCTACACATTTTCCCAACAAAAATGAATAAGTGTTCACCAAAAAAACATATATCAAAATCTTCACAATCATGCAATACTCTAATAGCCAGAAACTGGAACCAACCTAAATGCCCATGAACAATAAGATAAGTTGTAGTATATTCACACAAAGGAATATGATACAAGAGTAAAGAAACTACAACTGACAAATACATAATATTAATGAAAAGAAGCTAGATATAAACCAGCACCTTTATGATTTCATTTATATAAAGTTCAAGAACAGTCAAAGCTAATTTATAGTGACCGAAACCAACAGTGATTGCAGAGTAAGAGAATGACTGACTGAAAGGAACAGAAAGGGAACACTCTGGAGCGATGGGAGTATTCTATATCTTAATATGGATGATTGTCAAACAAGCATACAAATTTATCAAAATTCTCTGGTCTGTCTGCAGAAGATTTGTGCATTTTACTGTACGTAAATCAGACCTCTGCATAATACTGGTAGCATGTAAACAAATAAATAGCCAGGATTCTAGACTGGTGTTATGAAAAGTAATCAGTCTACAAACTATTTGTTGGGATCCTTGACATGATTAGGAGATTGCATCAGAATGTATATCAACACATTGTTTCTTTCAAAAAGGAAGACTTACTACAAAAACAATGTCAGCAGAAATGAACAGTGGGTGGAACTAAACTGTGTTAGAAGTGACACAGTTGATGTACATTCTAGTGAAAGCTCCTTATCTTTACCTGGACTGGTAGAAGCAGTGTTGCAGAGACAAGAAAAGTGAGAATATGCTAAAGGTCTTGAGGGGTTAAGTAAGAGATACTACTTTGAACCACTGTAGGAAAAAAAAAAAAGAAAAAGAAACAGAAAAAAAAAGCAAGACAATTTAAATAAAAATAATAAGATGGCAGAGTAAATACAGTCCAAGTATAACAATACAAACATAAAAGGATTAAACTCACTAGTCAAAAGAAAAAGACAAACTGAAAATTTTAAAATAATAAACTATTTGCTATACATAAAAAAGGCTGATAGTAAAAGAAGAGAAAATATATAAATAAAACTGGTAAGGTATATTAATATTTGGAAAAAAAGGAGTGTGAAAACAAAAAGCATAGTTAGAGATAGAGAAGATCACTAAGTAATGATGGAAAGTCCAATTCACCAAAAAAAAAAAAAAAACAAACCAACAATTCTGAACAGGTACACGCCTAAAATTTATACAAAACAAAAAATTCACGTAACTTCAGAGCAAAAATGGTAAATCCTACATCACTGTACGAGAACTCAACACATGGTTCTCAACTTTTGCCATCAACTCTCTATTCTTTCTCAGACTTTGTCATCTTCTCCTTAGATCAGAAGAGAAAGACAGAAACACCATCTTGTTCCAAAGCACAGAATGGATGTTTTTTTCTTCCCATACCAATAGACATAAACCTACTGAACAAGGAGGAAACTCATGGATCTTAAGGACTAACAGTTAATCCAGATGCATTCTGAAATCTTTGACAGAAAGCTATTTTGTGATTAGTTACAGGAACAATGAACTGAATCAAGGTGGTTAGCCTCCAAAAACTGTCAGGTACTAAGTGGTTTATTGCTGCCATCTGCTGGACACCTTTTTCATTTGCACTTCAATCATATTTGCCTTAAAACTCCTAGTAAGACAGCATATAAGGTCTTAAACTGTTATCTTTTCTGAGCCTCCTTTATCTAATGAGATGAAGACACTGTCTCTAAATTAAATGTTTGTATGCAAGGTGTTGACAACGGTTAAAAAAAATGTTTGTGCAATTTAAGCCTCCGTTAACAATGGCTTAAGTAAAAGGTTTATAGGAGTATAGAAAATTACATTGCCTGAAATCCACTTGGAATTTAATATATCCACAGACTACCAATTTTCCCATACAACTACTGGAAAATCGTATTTTATATACTGAATAACTGCAATGAGTCACTTTAAACATACCAATTACACTTTACCCATATGGCATATTATCCACATTACTTGCCATGTTTCTTAAAATATGCACATATAAATTCATGGCAGGTCTTCTAACACTTGCCCATAGCTGATTCCCTTGCCTTCCAGGCACACACAAAGATTACACTTCCTGTCCCTTTAGTACTCAGATGGGACCACATGATTAGTTCTGGTCAACAGATCATGAACGGAAGTGCCAAGTGTTGCCTGCAGGCCAATGCAAGTAATTATATGTGTGAGACCCTCTGGCACTCTCTTCCTCTGCCATAGTGAAAAGAAGGGACCTCAAAAGATGGTCAAGCCCCAAAATCAAAGTAGTTTAGATCACTAAAGACAGCTGCCCTAGAGAGCTGTCCAGACCCACAACAAACTTTCTAAGAGTAAAATAATACACTTGTATTGTATTATCCCACTGAGAGTTGGCACTTCAATGTTACCTCAGTATAGCACAGGCCAAGGTTTCTCAACAGCAGCAGTACTGCCATCTTAGGCTAGATAATTCATTGTGGTCTCTGTCTTGTGGACTGTGGGATGTTAAACAACATCCTTGGCATCTACCCACTAGATGCCAAGAAGCACTCATCAATATGACAACCAAAACCACCTCCAGTCATTGACCTCCTCCCCCAGTCTTTGAGAACCACTGGCATAGATTAAACTACTAATATAGTATGCACATATGTATGAGGAATATATATGTAAACATGTTGAGTATATTTAAGTCAAATGTCATATATTCTCCATGCTTTATTTCATATTAGAGTCAGATATTTTATAGGCTCTTAACAAATATGAATTTCCATTTCTCAAAGTAGTAAAGTTAATTCATAAATTTTTTACAAAATCAATCATATCACAAGTCTCTCTATAGTAGGGTAAACAAAATATTCCAAGAGTATATAAATCCATACATACTATGCTGTTCATTTCAGAGGACTCATAGCTCCCAACTGGATGGACATTTCCAATGGGTTCCAAGCCTTCTTCATCCCACATGTATGTTCCATCAGAGCTATCAGATGGAGAGAGTTCAAACGAAGAACCAGCTCTGTAGTCTGTATCTGGTGAAACCAAATTATTCCCAGAAGTATGTTTTGTACATTCACTCCTGTCTTCAAGAGAAAAAAGGTTACTGATTCACAAAAATATAATTGTTTCTCGTGTCCTAAAAATATAAGTGCTAATAATTTGATATATCATAGCAAAAAAGCTGGCTCAAAAAAAGCACTCATAACTGTAGCATTTTCTATATCCTAAGCAATAAAAACATCAAGAGCCAAAATCTTTAAAATAACCTACTGAAATATTTTCTAATAGAGGAAAAGAAAATTCATTTAGTCATCTTTCACTTCTGTAATATTTCCAAAAATGTAAATAAACCCTCATATTCCTATATTTCCCAAGATATTTATTTTTAAACACTGGCCAGGAAACTCCTTTTCCTCTGTGTACACTATTTAACTTCATAGATTAAATAATGTAGGGTACTCATAATTGCCTCCCTATAAGGAAATAAACTTGTTCCGGCAGTCTCTTTTAGAAGACCTATAGACAATCAAGGGTTTGTACATGCATTTCTATGCACGATCTAGTCCCCTGATTATACCACATGTCTATATCTAATCCCTTTAGTTGTTCTTTATTCAGGTATATGGGCATACAAATACCAAATACATTTTATCCAGCATTTAGTAACAGGATAACCAAACATAAGAGGAAATGTTTAACAGGTATTATTTCACTTTCTTCAGTTTAATAAATAAATAAAGCTCTCTCAGGAAGTGTATCTAAAAAATTGCTAAACAAGAAGAATTTTCTAGGATAAAAAAATCCGTGAGATTAGACATAACCTATATTATCTCATTGTACCCTTTGGTACAGCTTTACTCTTAACAAATAGCAATGAAATGCTATCCTAAGAGAAGAGATGGTTTGTTTAATGGCATACCACACTGGTTGAGGTAAGCAGGGGAAGTCATTTAGAAGCACTGCATATACTAAGCAGGAATAGGCTGTGTATAACAGCCAAAGAACAACAAAGGTTAAGAGTGGTTTTATTAATATTGTCTTGGATAGGGTGAAAAATGGGGTATGGAGCAAAAGTCACAGGAAAATAAACGTTAACCCACCTCAATTTTGTCTAGATCTATCCCTCCGTGAAACTGATAATATCTTGAAATCTATCTGAAGATAATCCTAAATGTAAGTTCAGTTATATTATTTAAAAGAAAGCAAAAAAACTTAAGGTAAGTAATATTTACCAGAGACACTTATATCTATCCATTCATCAGTTTTACTGAAGGCTTTTTCATTTTCCTTGGGGGAATCAAACATATCCTGTGGTGGCCCATTTTCATGTTTCTCTTCTTTGAGAGACATTTCCTCTGGAGTTATTCTAGTTCTGTTGGAGTCTTCTATATCTATAAAATCATCACTAAAGTCTTCACTTAAATCATTCTTATCAGAAGATGACAAAGACGACAAGGAAATGTCATCCACATCATCACTCAGGTATCTCATTTTAGCATCATGTTTCATGGTCTGGTTGTTTTTTGTTCTATAACTTTCATTTTCAATCAGTTCTTGGTCCTTATTAGCAGCTCTGTCCTTAGCCAAAACTGTAGCATCTTCCTCTACACATGTGTCAGCAGGTGAATTTTTATTTCCATCAACTGTCATAGTCCCAGAAAATGGAGATCGGCTAGATTTCAGTAGAGAGGGATGAACCATTCTATAACCTAAAGTAGAAGTTACACCTGGGCCATTTGGTAAAGCCAACTTCTTTCCACCAGCAGCATAAGGCCTATTAAATCCATACCCCAAATGTTCATTCCCATTGAGTACTTCTGGCTGCCGGGAATTTCTTGTTAGCATACTTGACCGTAGAGGCACTCTAATGGATAGCTGTTGGTTCTGATAAGGCTTTGTAAGATCCACAGCTCTATTAAAGGAATGTGATCTGGTTATAGATGAAGGTGGAAGGAATGAATTCTGAATGGAATGTGAAAAACTTTGTGACCTTACCATTTTTTCACAATTAATAGATTTACTACTGTCTGGGGATTGAGCTAAGCTTTCTCCAGAACTGCTTCTGGTGGCACAGGAGTTCGCTCTAGGCCTTTGCATGCTACCAGCTGATCGGTTTCCATAAAATCCATTCAACTGTGATTTTGGAGTATTGATCGAAGAATATGAAGTCCTTCCTAATAATGTGCCTTTGGTGAATTTACCCAAATTAGATGGTCCAGAAAAAGACTTTTGGTTTAACTCCTCTGTAGATGACACAAACATAGTGGATGGCTTTGCTAACTTTGATGTGAATAAAGAAACACTTTTCAAACCTCCCTTTATCCCATTTTTATCAAACATTCCTTGAGTAGGAACACGTTTTTCAGGATCAATTATTTTATCATGTGAATTTTGAGTATTGTTAGGCTCTTCGACACCTTGTGCACAAAGCTGATATTTATTTGCTTTCCTCCAATTAAATGAATGAGATGATGGACAATCAGAGCCATTATTTTTGATGTAACTTTTGACATTACTATTCTTGGAAGTTCCTAATAAATTAACAGGTGTCCCATTTGGCATTGGCTGCAATGTACTTCTTACAGATTTTGTTCCATACTTTGGCAACTTGGAACCCAAAAATGTCTTGATTTGTGTTTTTTCTTCCATGAGCTATAAGGTGCATTTGTTCTTAAAAGTTGAAAGAATCTGTGAAGAGAAAAAAGAAGTACATTAAACATTCCTAAATAAGGATAATTACATGAATTATTACATAATATGATACTTACACTTTTATACGCAGAAAAACCCAAAAGCTACTCATGATTCCTACAGAACTCCTGGCAAATACCGAATGCACTAATTAAATTAATAACTTTATGTTGGAAGAAAATAAAGAACATTTTTATAAACTTTTATAAATGTATGCTATGAATGACAGCAAAATCTAGAAATAAAATTAAACCACCAAATTTGACTATGTAAAAAATAATACTTACAGAGTACTTCTTCCAATTTCCAATCCAAATAATTTTTTCATTTTGGGTAAAAGTCTCTCCTTTAAAAATAAGAACATATGGAAAGCCACAGCCAGTGCACTCAGGCAAGAGAATGAAATAAAAGGCATTCAGATTGGAAAAGAAGAAGTCAAACTATCTCTGTTTGCCAATGATATGATTATATATCTAGAAAATCCTACGGACTCCTCCAAAAGATTCCAAGATTTGATAAATCCAGTAAAGTCACAGGTTGCAAAATCAAAGTACACAAATCAGTAGCATACCAACAATGACTAAGCTGAGAATCAAGAACTCAATCCCTTTGACCATAGCTGCAAAAAAATAAAATAAAATACCTAGGTATACTTAACCAAGGAAGTAAAAGATCTCTACAAGGAGAAGTGCAAAACACTTCTGAAAGAAATCACAGACAATGCAAACGAATGGAAATACATCCCACACTCATGCATTAGAGGAATCCATATCATGAAAATGACCATGCTGCCCAAAGCAGTCTACAGATTCAATGCAATTTGTATCGAAATACCAACATCATTTTTCCCAGAATTAGACAAAACAATCCTAAAATTCATATGGAACCAAAAAACAATCTTAAACAAAAAACCAAATCTGGAGGCATCACATTACTCAACTTCAAATTATACTACAAGGCTACTATAGTAACAAAAACAGCATGGTACTGGTATAAAAGTACATACATAGAGCAAAGGAACAGAGTAGAGAACCCAGAAATAAAGCCAAATACAATCAACTGACCTTTGACAAAGCATACATAAATGAAAATTGGGAAAAGAACGCCTTATTCAATAAATGTTGCCAGGAAAACTGGATAGCCACATGTAGAAGAATGAAATTGGATCCCTATCTCTTACCATATACAAAAATCAACCAAGATGGATTTAAGACTTAAATCCAAGGCATGAAACCATAAAAATGCTAGAAGAAAACCTAGGAAAAACTCTTCTGGATATTGGTCTAGGCAAAGAATTTACGACTAAGACACAAAAAGCAAATGCAACAAAAAAATAAATGAGACCTAATTAAACTAAAAAGCTTCTGCTCAGCAAAAAATAATCAGAGTAAACAGACAACCCACAGAATGGGAGAAAATACTTGCAAACTATGCATCTAACAAAAGATTAGTATCCAGAATCTATAAGGAACTCCAACTAATCTGCAAGGAAAAAAATAATCCCATCAAAAAGTGGGCAAATAACATCAACAAACATTTTTCAAAAGAAGGTATACAATGACCAAGAAACATGAAAAAAAAATGCTCAACATCACTAATCATCAGGGACGTGCAAATTAAAACCACAATGAGATATCACCTTATCCCAGCCAGAATGGCTATTATTAAAAAGTCAAAAAACAATAGATATTGGCATAGATGTGATGAAAAGGGAACATTTAGGTACTGCTGGTGGTAATGTAAATTAGTACTACCTCTATGGGAAACAGTATGTAGATTTCTCAAAGAACTAAATCTACCATTTGATCCAGCAATCTCACTACTGGGTATCTACCCAAAGGAAAACTGTATCAAAAAAAAAAAAAACCTGCATATGTATGTTTATCACAGCAAAATTCACAATTGCCAGATGTGGAACCAACCTAAGTACCCATCAACCAATGAGTGAATTAAAAAAATACACCATGGAATACTACTCAGCCATAAAAAAGAATGAAATAATATCTTTTGAAGCAACGTGGATGGAGATGGAGGCCATTATTCTGAAGTAATTCAGGAATGAAAAACCAAATACCACATGTTCTTACTTGTAATTAAGAGCTAAGTTATGGGTATGCAAAGGCATACAGAGAGGAATAATGGACACTGGAGACTCAGAAAGGGGGATGATGGGAGAGGGATGAGAGATTTTTTAAAAACTACACAATGTAGTAGGGTACAATGTATACTATTCGGGTGGCACGTGCACTAAAATCTCAGACTTCACCACTACACAATTCATTCATGCAGCCAAAAATCACCTGTTCCCTTAAAGCCAGTGAAATAAAAGGTAATTAAAGAACATATTATTTTTTTAAAAAAATACATGGTTTTATAAAAGCTAGAAGACATTCGAAAAACCTTAATTACTAAAGTCATGAGAATTTTTTTTTATTTTTAAAACAACTGATTCCAAGTCAACCCTGGCCTAAGAAGTAGAGTTCCTATAATACATGTTATTATGTCAAAAGTAAATATTTAGAAAATCGTACAAATGTTCAAGTATAGAGTGAAAAAAGACTAAAGAACGTCCTGTTACCAACAACTAAGAGATATATATATATATTTGTGTGTATGTGGTTTTTTTCAGCAGAAAACCTATCAGTTACACACTGTAATACAAAAAACTATTTAAACTAAGAACTTATAAAGTTTAAAAAGTAGCGGACAGAAAAAAATTCTGTATGGTACAGTATGACTGGCAGCCTGATTACTGCCTGGAAGCAGTAGTGAGAAAGAAATGTGAACTAAAAAACTTGAAAATTTTAAGAAATACCTCTAGTTTGGATAGAAAAAATTTGATTTGCCATGCCCTACAAAAGTTGAGGAAAAATATCCCGAGCACAGAGGCTTCAAAACCTAGGCAGAGGCATCACCAGGATCTGCCAACTTCTAAGTCCCTATACTGAGTTGAGGGAAGGATCTGAAGCCCATAGACATGTACTGTACCCTCAGCAGTATGAAATGAGACTGGTATAGGACATTTAACGCAATCTAAGGAGATGGGAAAGCATAGGGCCACAGAAGGGCAAAAGCGAAGTCTTGACCTAGGTATCCAAATTAAGCCTGAGCAAGACAAAAAGAAATGCCCATACAATCATATAAACAGTTTCTTGTAACACAGAACAACCTAATAAGAACATGCATCTAATGAAACAAAAGCCCAAAGATGAAAAGACAAAACAGGTAAATTGAAAAGAAAGGCTTCAGCGTTAAGGAAACCAATTAAGAAGAACAATGAATTTGAAAGAAAAAAAAAAAAAAGCAAGGAAAAGAAGCAAAGACTTAAACAAATGGCAAGGAGAAAAATCTTAAGGTAACAAGAGTATATCGAGGAGGCTAAGGTGGGTTGATCACTTGAGACCAGGAGTGTGAGACCAGCCTGGACAACATGGCAAAACCTCATCTCTACAAAAAAAATACAAGAATTAGCCAGGCATGGTGGCACACACCTGTTGTCCCAGCTACTCAGAAGGCTAAAGCGGGAAGATCAACTGAGCCCACGAGGTTGAGGCTGCAGTGAGCCGTGATCAAGCCACTGCGCTCCAGCCTGGCTGAAAGAGTGAGACCCTGTTTCAAAAAAAAAAAAGTATCGAGGAGAAAAAAAAGACAAAGATATTGAATTAGAAAGAAAATGTAGGACAAAGGCTGAACAGAAAGATAATTAGTATCCCTGAAGTAGAATAACTAATTAAATGGAAGAGAAAAGGCAGGAGGACATAATAGAAAATATCCCTAAAATAAAGGTGAAAAAAAATCTATGGAGGGAAAGAAAAAATATATCAAATCACAGATGCAAATACGTATCCTATTTAAGTTAATGAAATACCAAGGATAAAGAAATAATTCTCCAGAAATACAAGTAGAGAAAAAAAATCACCTTTAAAAAATTTTTTAAACTTGGAATATACAAAGGAAATAACTGGATAACCTTCCAAAGAAATGCTGGAGCCTCTGGGGATAACTTAATCCTGTAGGAATCACATTAATTTTACCATTAAAAATTTATTCTAAATTCACCACTTCCATTCCACAATTCTAGTTCTTATGCTCATCATTTCTTCCTGTACTACTACCAAGGATTCCTACATTTGTCAAGATTCCAACCTTACTTCTATTCAAACTGTCAGCAGTTATCTTCTTAAAGCAAAGATCTGGATCACGTCATTCTACTGATTAAAAACCATCTGTGAGACTAGGAACAACAAAATAAAACCCAAAACTCATTGTACAGGGAGCAAGCTACTCTATTTGATTCTACCTTATCCTTGTTATATACTTAAGCCAAGATACGTTATTTGTCATTGCCCAAAATCCATCCTATATTTTCTAACTTCTTTGCCTTTGCTAAAGACCCCTTGGAAGATTCTATCCTCAAAGTCCAAAATCACCACATCCACCAACATTTCCAGTTAAAATTAATCTTACATCATTCTCTATTCTCTTCACAGCAATAATATAGCTGAGTTTGTCTTCTAATTGTGTGCATGTCTATTTGACCCACAGGAAAGTAAACCTGCTGAGAACATAAACTAAGTCTTATATACTGTACTTTGAGGCCAGCTACAGGACTACAAATTTAATAGATCCTCAACTTTTAAGTAAATTCATAATCTCTTAATGTAAATTAATTCAACAGTAAGGAAAGACTAAAAAAGAACTTTGTTTTGTGGACCTGTGATTGACTGGTAATAGCTCCCTTGGGCAATATGTTGAAAAGGATTCCGAGGCCGGGCACAGTGGCTCACACCTGTAATCTCAACAGTTTGGGAAGCTGAGGCGAAAGGATCGCTTGAGCTCAGGAGTTGAAGGCCATACTGAGCAACATAGTGAGACCTCATCTCTACTAAAAATTTAACATTAAAATTTTTAAAAAACAAAAAGGATGCTGAGGTCAAATCTAGCTTCTGAAGTAGTGACATGATCAAGCAGCAATGTTTGCCAGGAGCAGAGCAAGGGACAGTGGCAATATCCATGCCAGACAACTGTCTTCCTCATTTTTGATAATGGTCTTTTCCACAAAACATACTACCATACCCACAACCACTTTCGGTATAAACATAAGAAAACTGGTATTGATATTACATATTAGGGTCATTTTGCAAATCAATAAATAATACATGTTAAAGATTAAAGAGCCTGTGAGTCAGAAAGGCTTTAACATTTCCCCGCCTGTCACAAGTAGACCACGGAAAGAAAATTATATTCTTTCCTTTCTCTATGCCTCTATTTTCCTGCCTAAGATGAGGGTAATACATGTTATCTCCCAAGAGCATCTTCAGTATTAATAACTTAGAGGCACAAGATGAGCCCACAAGAGAGACACACTGTTACTGGTGTTTGTGGTTCCACCAGTTTGTGGGGGAAAAGAATAATGTTAGAACCTGAATGTGCTATTCTCTATGAAGAATAACGATTTCTAAATGTACAAATAATTGCAACACAAATCACATCAATCATCTTGAACTTTGGTCTTAAGATAAACTAGTCTGACAGCTCCACTATGAAGTTTACGTTATGAATATTATCACTTCATTCGTTGATGAGCTACCATCTGTCTTTAAAAGTTCATGAAATTTTCCCTTATATTTGCTTATAATTTTGAAATAAAATAAAATAGACATTGTGAGTCTGCTTCATTTTGGTAGCCATGCTGTCTTTGATGCACTTTACCTAAACTGTAATCTGTTAGGTGTCTAAAAAATCCATTCATTAACAATTTGAAAAAATATATGTTGCCTACATCATCTAATGATATAATCTCTGAGACACTTTAATACCATCTGTGAGCTTTAATTTAGTGGTGAACTAAGACTAATATCTGGACCAGTGCTTGAAAATGTCAGTTTTTTTTTAGTTTCTGCAAGAATAATTTTTTAAAGTATAGCAAATTTACAGTATTGGTATTTAATATTTAAAAATTTTTTTCAGGCCGGGCGTGGTGACTCACGCCTATAATCCCAGCACTCTGGGCAGCTGAAGCATGTAGATCACCTGAGGTCAGGAGTTCGAGACCAGCCTGGCCAATATGGTGAGACCCTGTCTCTGCCACAAATACAAAAATTAGCCAGGCATGGTGGCACACACCTGTAATCTGAGCTACTCGGGAGGCTGAGGCACAAGAATCACTTGAACTCGGGAGGCAGAGGTTGCAGTGAGCCGAGATCATACCACTGCACTACAGCCTGGACAAAAGAGCCAGACTCCATCTCAAAAAAAAAAAAACAAAAAAAAATTCAAAAATACTTATAAATGCCTTTTTTTAAAACTGTAAATCAAGCTTCTCGCTTTTAAAAGAAATCCACAATTGGATAAGGGAAAAGCAGCAGCAAATATTATTAAGCACTTACATGATAGGTACCATGCTTACCACTTCATACTTTTTGTTTAATCTTCATAACATTATAAGGTAGTAGATTTCTTCCCATCTTAAATAGCTAAAACCAAGATTCAGAGAGGCTAATATACTTGTCCAAAGTCACAAATTCATAAACTGTCAAAGAGGATTCGGGTTCAAGTTTACCTGATTCCAGGGCCAATGAAAACTGCCTTCATGACAAAGGAATGAAATACAGTCAGTGAGCCAAGCAATGATGTTACAGTCAATAATGGACTATATTTACAACGATGGTCCCATGAGATTACAGTGGAGCTGAAAAATTCCTATAGCCTAGTGACATGCTAGCCATTGTAACATTGTAATGCAATTACTTTATTTTTTACATATTTATTGTATCTGTTTGTACAGAGTTTATAAAGTCTATACTAGTGTGCAATGATGTCTTAGGCCTTCACATTCACTCACCACTCACTCACTAACTCATCCAGAGCAACTTTCAGTCCTGTAAGCTCCATTCAAGTGCCCCATACTGGTATACCATTTTTTTCTCTTTTATATAGTATTTTTATTGTAACTTTTCTATGTTTACATAACTTTAGATAAACAATTCCTTACCATTGTGTTACAACTGCCTACAGTATTCAATACAGTAATATGCTGTACAGGTTTGTAGCCTATAAGCAAGATAGTATACCATATAGCCTTGGTGTGTAGTAGGCTATACCATCTGCATCTGTGTAAGTATACTCTATGATGTTCACAGAACAACAATGGCCTAAGGAGGCATTTCTCAGAACAGATCCCCTTCGTTAAGCGATGCTGCCTGTATTCTGAGAAGCCTACTAACAACAAGGGACAAGAATGAAGGAAGGGACTGAATGGCTAATGTCAGAGGAAAACCATAAAGACTGCAAAGGACCTAGATATTAATTACAGAAATTTAGCAGAAGAACAGTAAGAGCTGTCACTTTTTCAAACTCCTTTCATATCCATTACCTCATCATCTGAGGAACCACCCACTCACTGTCTTTTTTTAGTTTTTCAAATAGTTTTTTAGAAGGTATAAATTGTCTGCATTTTAGGGGTTTAAACAGACATAAACTCACTACTAAGTACAAGAGCAATTAACTGAACAACAATACTGATGACTACACACGTATAAGCAGTTACTTCGGAAATCTGCTTTCAAGTTCAGACAACTAGATCAGAATTTAAAGTAATTTTTTTTAACCTTGTGTTACTCAACTACTTCTTTCATATCCCCTTTTCCCATTTTTTCCTGGCTGTCATCTGTGGCATAAGCTGATTCAAAGGCTTGATTATAGCAATTAAATAAGTGGCCAGGCGTGGTGGCTCACACCTGTAATCCCAGCACTTTGGGAGGCCCAGGCAGGTGGATCACCTGAGGTCAGGAGTTTGAGACCAGTCTGGCCAACATGGTAAAACCCCATCTCTACTAAAAATACAAAAAAAAAAAAAAAAAATAGCTGGGTGTGGTGGCTCACACCTGTAATCCCAGCACTTTGGGAGGCCAAGGCGGGTGGATCACCTGAGGTCAGGAGTTTGAGACCAGCCTGGCCAACATGGTAAAACCCCATCTCTACTAAAAATACAAAAAAAAAAAAAAATTAGCTGGGCGTGGTGGCAGGCACCTGTAATTCTAGCTACTTGGGAGGCTGAGGCTAAAGCATTGCTTGAACCCAGAAGGCAGAGGTTGCAGTGACCGGAGATTGCGCCATTGCACTCCAGCCTGGGTGACAAGAGTGAAACTCCATCTCAAAAATAAAATAAAATAAATTAAAATAAAATAAAATAAAATACCAATTAAATAAGCAAAAATGACAACTTTAGCCAAAGTAAAGGTTTAAAATGGTGCGCTTACTTCCAGATTCTTCAAAGTTTTAAAGAGGACATGCCATGCTCAACACAAAGCCTCTTTATTGTATCAATATGACCTTTCTGTGCTCCAGCTACAACTTCATTTTCACTCACATAAATGGAGTTCAAAGTAACTTGTAAAAGTTAAGCTCAAAAGGAATTTGTGGTTTAAGAACATTAAATAAGGTTATTATGCAGATCCAATGTATATTACTTCCTGAAATTTAAACTTAAAAGAACAAAAATACTAACAAGAGGAACCAGAAGTTCCCCTGGCCAAACCATAAAAATTTCTCCCTCCAAATTTTACCAGTTGGTACAGGAACACAAAACTCAAATACCTGTGGGGCATGCAAATGTCATTAATGTGCAGAGGGCTAGGAAAAGATGACACATGCCAAACTACGTCAATATTGACCCATATACTGCCTTTTAAAATAGTAGACACCTATAACAATTAAGTACAGACATTTTACAAACACCAGGTCAAATCAAAACAAGCAAACATTTAACATTTCAGTCTATACAGGATCTGCTTGAGCAAAGTTCCCTATATTAAATTAAATGGGCAGTAGGGACAGGGCCATAGGAGATCCAGCATCAGGAAGAACAGTAACAGGAGTAACATTAACATGGATGGAAGACTACTAGGCCATAAATTCACTAATGGCACATACTGGGTTTGATTCACCAGAATACACTACTCAAGCCCCAGCTTGCTCAGTATATGACAAACAGTAAATACCTAAACATGAAACATTTTGTAAACATCTACATACGTTAGAATTATAGTTTCATAGAAAAATGTTAGTGAGGCCAGGCACGGTGGCTCACGCCTGTAATCCCAGCACTTTGGGAGGCCGAGGTGGGCGGATCACCTGAGGTCGGGAGTTCAAGACCAGCCTGACCAATGTGGAGAAACCCTGTCTCTACTCAAAATACAAAATTAGCCAGGCATGGTGGTGCATGCCTGTAATCCCAGCTACTCGGGAGGCTGAGGCAGGAGAATCCAAAAATCCAAAACGCAGAGGTTGCAGTGAGGTGAGATTGCACCACTGCACTCTAGCCTGGACAACAAGAGCGAAACTCCATCTCAAAAAAAAAAAAGAAAAATGTTAGTGGTAGTTTCTACATAATAGAATACAACATGGTAATGAAGACCTAATTATTGCTATATGCAACAATACAGATAAAACTAACAGGATCCTTTAAACAAGAGAATCCAGAGACTTGAGGATAAATATAGTGTGATTCCATTTATATGAAGGTCAGATTTCCATTTTCGATGTAAAAAGCTGCAATTAATATCACTCCTACCTAAAAACCTGGAAGAGCCAGATAATCTTCAAAATCATAACCTTTCATAAGCCCATCAGAAAGCTGTTATTGTAAGGCAAGCAAGTCAACCAAATTCCAAAGGGAGACAAGCCCCTCCCAGGAGAGACGGGACATTTAACAGTTTCACTTTTGGCTGAGCATAAAAGACAGAAATGACCACCATAAAAAGGAGTAATAAGCTAACATTTTAATGTCTGCTTAAAAGCCAAATGTGGACTAGCACAACAGCAAGCTCTTCCTCATGGGCCTCAACCTAGCATTCAAGAGAAACATATAAGAAAGCCCCCTCTTAACGGCACAGGCATGCAGGAGGTGATGAAAGCCTGCACTGGAACAAACACAAACCCTCTCACTTCCCTGCCTCCTTCTGTCCTCTGAAGCAAAAGCCTTAAACTGCTGGGGAAGCAGCAGCAAGACTTCTCACCCAGGGGCACAGGAAAAAAATCCAGTGCATGTGGAGGAAACAGAATGGAATGGGAGAAATGTTCAGTTGATCCATTTATGTGAGAGTAAGGTCAAGAACTGATTAAAGTAATTATGATAATATGTGTTAGAATACAGCAGTGGTTCCACAGTGCTTGTGTGTATCAGAATCACCCGGAAGACTTCATTAAAACAAGATCTCTGGACTCCACTCCCAGAGTTTCTGAACCAACATATCAAAGGTAAGGCCTTAGGAAAAAGTATTTTTAACAAGTTTCCAGGTGATGTTGATTCTGCCGATCTGGAATTCATACGTTGGAAATCCCTGGGACAGAGACTAACTCTGCAAGAGCGGGCTAACTGAAAAGGGGTTGACTGAGACATTGGCAACTTGATCTGGATGGTGTAAAATTCACCAAGAGTACATCATTTAAGATTTATGTATTTTATTGTATGTAAGTTATACTTCATTTTTTAAAGCTTCTCTTAAAAAATTAAAAGCCTCAAACTGCTTCTACTCCTATAAATAGTAAAAATAAGCCTTACTGCAAAGACAACTTATTCTACAAATTGATAAAAGAAATAAGCATGTATCCTGCTCTTCTTGTATTTCAAAGTAACCAAAAAATTGATGGAAAATCTTCTTTATAGAAGAACCACAACTGATAAATACAGAAAAAAAGATAGAATCACAAAGTAAGAAAATCTGAAACACTCCATTAAATATCAAAACACCCCTCAAAAAAGGGAGTGTGACAGTTAAAACTGAAACTATTAAAAGGTAAGTGGTAAATAACACCAGGGATTAATTATGCTGTTTTCTCTACACATGATGTTTGAAAACATCCATATAAAACTTCCATTTAAAAAAGTAAACCCCAGCCAGGCACAGTGGCTCACACCTGTCATCCCAGCACTTTAGGTGGTTGAGACAGGTGATCACCTGAGGTCAGGAGTTCCAGACCAGCCTGGCCAAGATGGTGAAACCCCATCTCTACTAAAAATACAAAAATCAGCTGGGTGTGGTGGCAGGTGCCTATAATCCCAGCTACTTGGGAGGCTGAGATAGGAGAATCACTTGAACTCGGGAGGTGGAAGTTGCAGTGAGCTGACATTGCACGACTGCACTCCAGCCTGGACAACAGAGTGAGACTCTGTCTCAGAAAAAAAAAATAAAATAAAAATAAAAAAGTAAACCCCAAATAAGGATGCTTTCATCAGGGAAAGAGATAGGAAATAAATTTCAGCACATTCCACATTATCCTCCTTCTCTTAGCATTCATTTTCATTCTCTCTCAGGAGCACTTATATACCCCTATTCAGAGAACTCCCAAACCCTGGATCTCTACATTTAACTCCTCCTACAAAAGACAAAGGACTCTTGAATTAGCAAAATCATAAACTTCTAACTACCCTGACCAAGGCTGATCAGCAGTAGCATCAATAACACCTAGAAACTTGTTAAAAATAGATTTTCTAAGGCCTTACCTTAGATATAGTGCTCAGCAATTCTGTAGAGCCCAGAGATCTTGTTTTAATAAAGCCTTCCAGGTGATTCTGATACACACAAACACTGTGGAACCACTGCTCTATTTTAACCCCTATTATCGTAATTAGTTTAACCTGTTCTTGACCTGACCCTCACATAAATCAACTAAACATTTTTTACATTCCATTCTGTTTCCCCCAGATACAATGGACCCTTCAGAGTTGCAGGTGCACCAGGGGGAGATAAATGAAGTCCCCTCCCAATTCCACAACTGTATAAAATACTATTGATACAGTAATGCCTGAATTAACTCATCCTAGGGGAATTAAGTAATCCTTTGGACATAAAGCACTTTTTAAAAAGAAAAAAAAAAGTTGGGACAAAAAAGTGTATGTCCTGAAAATTAGATATTCCTGGTCTTGAGTCATTTCCAGTGGGAGAAGGTTACAGGAATCTTTCTGAAGAGCAAACTTCACTAAGCAAAGCAGGGTCCTAGGACCAGGAGACAGTAAATGCCTAGGTTCACAGGTCCCACATACAGAAACTCCTCTACTTTCAACTCATAAGCTTCTGTACATATGAACAAGGCA
The DNA here is from genome assembly GCF_000001405.40 of Homo sapiens. Classification (NCBI taxonomy): domain Eukaryota; kingdom Metazoa; phylum Chordata; class Mammalia; order Primates; family Hominidae; genus Homo; species Homo sapiens. The sequence goes on along the minus strand of NC_000010.11, from coordinate 84,358,913 downwards.
ACCAATCAAAATGAAAGTTTCTCAGCAATGCCTGACACCAAAGGAAAATGTTAGCGATTATTTACAAAAAGAATTTATGAACAGCCTTTCAGAACTTAAAACTGTTTGTAAATAAATGAACTTCTGTACCTGAAAAGAGTGGAGATGGTGGAGGAGGGAATAGTTGAGGCAATCACATTACGTGTCTGTGTATAATTAATAAATATATATATACACGTGTGTGTGTGTATATATATATACATATATGTATATGTATATATATATACACATATATACATATATATATATTTAGATAGGGTCTCACTGTCACCCAAGCCAGCATGCAGTGGTGCTATCACAGCTCACTGCAGCCTCAACTCCTGAGCTCAGGTGATCTTCCCATCTCAGCCTCCCAACACATATATATTTGAATTTAGACAAAGTAAAATTACTTTCCAGAGCTAGAGGAACATTAATGGTATAGGTGATTCCACCCATCATTCCACTCTATAAAAATATACTTACAAAGTGAACATATAGGAAAAGACATGAATCTCCTCCTCTCTCAGTAAGTCTCAGTTTATACATGCTTGGCACAGTATGAACAAATTACCAACAGTGATATACTACTATCTGAAAATGGGTATTTTTTGCAGAAGCCAACTCTCTGAACTGACCAACTCTTTGGTACTCAACCAAAGCTGCAAGAAAAGATAACCAGGTTAAACTTAAGTCACCATCTGGCTTCTCAACGGCAACTATACAAGATTTTTAAACTCCATGCTAACTTTAGACCCTAACCTCACCCAAAATGTCCTATTTCATAGTTATCTATGTCTTCCAAACCACTGTAGGCAGGGGAAAACAGAGGTGAGCAACTCAAGAGGCATGTGTGTTCTTTACTGTCTAGATGGCTAAATTCCACCTAATGGGAAAGGAAAATCATACTTAAAATCATGCATTAAACCACATTCTCTTCTTCAACAGAACTACTATATGCTTTCCATAACACCATTATGTCACCCATAGAAGCATTATTTGTCTACTAAGTATTTACTGAACATCCATTATGTGCCAGCAACTGCACAAGTTATTGTGGATACAGTTGTCACAGACAGATATGAACCTTGCACTCCTAGAGCTAATGGCCCAGCAAAGACTAGACATTTAAAAACACAAAAATATGGCCGAGCGCGGTGGCTCACGCCTGTAATCCCAACACTTTGGGAGTCTGAGGCGGGCGAATCACGAGGTCAGGAGATCAAGACCATCCTGGCTAACACGGTGAAACCCCGTCTCTACTAAAAACACAAAAAAATTAGCCGGGCGAGGTGGCAGGCACCTGTAGTCCCAGCTACTCGGGAGGCTGAGGCTGGAGAATGGCGTGAGCCCGGGAGGCAGAGCTTGCAGTGAGCCGAGATCACACCACTTCATTCCAGCCAGGGTGACAGAGAGAGACTCCGTCTCAAAAAAAAAAAAAAAACACAAAAATATAATAAATGTCATAAAAAAGAAATATGAGGCCATACACTGGGAAGCAAGTCCAATGGAGGGAAAAGGGAGCTAGGGAATTTTCAAGGTTTCTATGGACGGTGTAGTTAGTCATCAGCCCCAATTATTCGACTAATTGTAAAGGTTTATGCCTGACTTGTTGGGAGTTCTGGGGTTAACAGACATGTGTTTACACATATAGTCTTGTGTCTGAAATGCACTACCCCTCACCCTTCACACATTCTTCATGGTATCAAACCGTCTTTGCAGAAGCCAAACCCACCAGCCTCAGATGTGGGCTCTCATTTCTTGTCAACACACCAAGTAATGCCCCTCAGACACTCAAAGTTTATTTTCCCTCCACTGGAGGCCAAGTTCTTTGAGAACACAGACTGACTTTCAATCATCTGCTGCCTCAGTCAAGCCCTAAGACATAGGCTGGCACCTAACTGGTTTTTTACAAATGTAGGTTAAAAGCAAGAATAAACAGCATATTCCTTAACAGTGTCTTGCTAGGTATTTTACTAATTTTTACCTCAAATTTACATTATCAGCACATCTATATGTATATACACACACACACATAATGTATAACAGCTTATCACACAATTGGCAGTATATTTCAATTAATATCTGAGGTCCTATAGAACTGGTTTATAAGCTCCTATTCATAGGTTCCTGTTTACGTAAGTAAAACAGGTACTAATGCATGATATTGATTTTTTTCCACCTCTCCACAAACTATATTGGGTTACTAACCCTAATGAAGAAACCGATCTCTTCCCTGATAGCTTCCTTCTTAATAATGTATTCTAATTTAGAATCTCAATCTCTACGCATATCCACGACACCTACTTCTTTCATTTTTTTGAAGAAGGAACTTAAAACTTTTGGCATAAAACATTTTTTTAAAAAAATACTAAATTACAAAAGAAATAGAGTATAGCGCAGTTTTAGTCTCAGTATGACTGTGCTCTTCAAATACTGGCTCCCTGTATGATTTAGTTACAAAATGTTTTAGATAATTGCTCACACAACTCTTAATAGCAACTAGGACACCCATACCTTAACATTTTTTAAAAGTAAAAATCCTTAAAATAGTTAACAGCATTTAACCAATCCCGAGTACCGACACTGAGAATCTGCTTGATTTGCCAAATACCAAAGTGACTAAAGTTAGGTGCAATGTTTGCCTCTATGAATTAATTATAATAACCATCAAATATCTCATTGTGCTTAGGACTAACAGAACTCAACTTCTTCCTTTGTAGAGAGGCCACACTTAATCCACTGCAAACCTCCACCTCAGATTAATACAACACCTTTTTTTTTTTTTTTTTTTGAGACAGTTTCACTCTTGTCACCCAGGCTGGAGTGCAATGGCATGATCTTGGCTCACTGCAACCTCTACCTCCCAGGTTCAAGTGATTCTCCTGCCTCAGCCTCCCAAGTAACTGTGATTACAGGCGCCCGCCACTACATCCAGCTAATTTTTGTATTTTTAGTAGAGACAGGGTTTCACCATGTTGGCCACGCTGGTCTCAAACTCCTGACCTCAGGTGATCCACCCACCTCAGCCTCCAAAAGTGCTGGGATTACAGGCGTGAGCCACAGTGCCCAGCCACAACACTTTTTTATAAAGTAACTATAAGACAAGATCCTGAAAAATAAAGAAGGTACATACAGTACTTGCCATAAGCAGCTTATGATCTGGTAAAGGAAGAAATGCTTTCATTACACCAATGACTTAAAATACATTCATTTAGTTATTAAACATTTATTGAAAGCCTATTATGAATCAGGCTCTAAGATAGAGGTTGTGGATAAAATAAGACCTTCCAATATAAGGGAAAAGACATGTAGACAAGAGAAGGGGAATGAAGTACTATAACTGCTAGAGCAGAGTATATGGGGTAGCACATGGGGGAACAAAAAAGAAAGTGCTTAACTGGGAGAGAGGGATAACATAAATGGCTTCGTAGAGGAGGCAATGCTTGAGCTGAGTTTCAAAAGATAAATGGTAAATAGAAATAAAGACACTGAATGTGAAAAAACAATACAGCCTAAGAGCATAAACAAAAACATAGAATCAGCATGACACATTCAGAAAACTGTTGTTGGCTGAACAATGGTAGTGAACAGGGTTTCAGAAATGCATAAGAAGAAAGGAAGAATAGTGGAAAAATACAGCCTACAGAGTGGCTTATGTGCCATACTAAGAAGTCTGGACTTTACTATGGGCAATTAGGAAACTAAAGGGTTTTAAACCATTAAAAAAAAAGATCTGACCTGAATTTTGAAAAGTCACTTTGATTTAAGTACGCAGGAGATGGGTTAAGAAGGGGAGATGGGTTAAGAGGTTAGTTACAACATGAGAAAGACAACAAAGATTGTAGCAAAAAGGTACAAAAGATATCAGCAATATTAAATCTAAAGAATTTTTGTCACAATAATGGGCACAAAATGAGAACATAATATTTAGCAAATAAATGGATGAGTGATTGATTAGATGTGGGAGATAAGAGGAAAGAGCTCAAAATTCTGGGCTTGTCTGACTGGACATGATGTTTTTCCCCAGGCATAATGTTTGCCTTTGATTGAGGGCAAACATTATGTCTGGGGAAAAACATCACAAACTTAGCACATCAAGCTAACTTTGAGGTGCATATCTAGAGAGCATACGCGAGGGTGTTTACCGGTCAAAGGAGTCTGAAATGCAAGGGCAAAATCTGAAAGGAAGATGATGATTTGGGAATTATCAGTACAGGAACGATGGTCAAATTTCCCACCAAAAACAAGTGAGGTCACCTGGAGAAGATGTACAACAAGGAGAGAAAGGCACAGTCCTGGTATCACCAACACTTAAAAAATGGATGAGGGGGAAGCGGGGCGGGGGGCGGGGGGTGGCACAGAGAACGTATGATCCAAGAGTAAAGAAGAGAAATAAAAAAGTAATTTGCAAGAAACTTTGAAGATAACAAGCAGTAGTGTCAAATTCCACATATAAGTAAACTAAGAACCAAAAAGAATAATTGGGCTTAGTAGTTTACAAATTTGGTCACCTTTGCCAAAGCAGTTTCAGGAGACAAGATGAGGACAGAAACCTGACTACAGCAGGTTCAAGAATAAAGAGATAAACAGTCAGGAAACATACTCTATTCTTTCAAACAAACCCTATTTAAAAAAAAAAAAAGTAACTTGAGACAACATAGACGTAATCTTGTTTTTTTGTTTTTTGTTTGAGATAGAGTCTCCCTCTGTCACCCACCCAGGCAGGAGTGAAGTAGTGCAAACACAGCTCACCGCAGCCTCGACCTCCTGGGCTCAAGCAACCCTCCCGCCTCAGCCTCCCCAGTAGCTGGGACTACAGGTGTGTGCAACCACACCTGGCTAATTTTTGTATTTTTTGTAAAGAATGGGTTTCCGCCACATTGTCCAGGCTGGTCTTGAACTCCAGAGCTCAAGTAATCCACCCGCCTCAGCCTCCCAAAATGCTGGGATTACAGGCATGAGCCACCATGCCTGGCCTGGGTTTTTTTGTTTTTTTGTTTTTTTGTTTTTATTTTGTACCCTCTTTTCTGCAGGAAAAGAGCTCAAAGAGGAGGTTAAAAATAAAGAAAATAGTGGGGACAATATTTGGAACAAGATCCCACCATGAGATCAACATGGGCTTCCAGTCCCATTAGGAGACTGAAAATGCTAAAGGGGAAAAGAAGGCAGAAGTTCTGATTTACAGCTAAGTCCAGAAGAAAGTGGCAGCTTGATGGGAATGGTAAACATTGTGCCTGTGGTAGCCATGCTAATTGCAGGCCCCATTCACCCACCTAAGTCAGGATTGGCTAAACCTGAAGGGTGTGGAAATCACACCTGCAGCTGAATGGGGCTGCAGGAAGTAGGGACTCGGTCTTACTAAACGTTATGAGCAAACTCAACCAACAAAAGCATACAGAACTTGAGCAATACAAGTAATTTCAAAAACATAAGCATAATGAAAATATCTACAACATATACTCAATAGCCTAATTAAAGACTCGTTTTTTTAATACTCAGCATCTAGCACAGAGCCTGGCATATAACAGATGTTAGTATATACAAATGAATAATGTCCTGGGGCTGGCTCGGGCTGCTATCTCAAGAGACAGGAACACCCATGGAAGACAGGCTATACAGGATCTCCATGACCGAGGCAAGAAACTGTCCTTCCTATGCAACCAGAGGGTGGAAAGGCTTAACCGTCCCTGCTGAAAACAAAAGAGGAGAACATGACTGTCAGGGCCCTTAACGATAACTAATTTTTACCAAGTAGGTATATGTGTAGCACTGTGCTATTCACTTATAAGAATTGTATCTTAGGCTGGGCGCGGTGGCTCACGCCCGTAATCCCAGCACTTTGGGAGGCCAAGGCAGGTGGATCACCTGAGGTCAGGAGTTCGAGACCAGCCTGGCCAACATGGTAAAACCCTATCTGTACTAAAAACACAAAAATTAGCCAGGTCTGGGGGGCACATGCCTGTAATCCCAGCTACTTGGGAGGCTGAGGCATAAGAGTCAATTGAACCTAAAAGGCGGAGGTTGCAGTGAGCCAAGATTGTACCACTGCAATCCAGCCTGGGTGACAAGAGACTCTGTCTCCAAAAAAAAAAAGAATTATCGCATCTTAACCTTAACCTCCTACCTTAACAACTACTAGATAGGTATATTTATTCCCATTTCACAGATGAAGAAATAGCTTTAGGAAAGTTAAGTAATTTGTCCAAGTTCACATAGAGAGTCAGGAATCAGGACCACTGAACCTGTCAGTGGCACTTAATATGGTAAGAGGAGGTGGTGGCGGCGGCAGTGGTGGTGGTGGTGATAGGTACTCTTTGAAATATAAAGATACTACCAACAAACTTTTATATATACAGAAACCTTGCCCACTCACCGAGAAGACTGCTCCCCACCCCCGTCATTCTTCCTACTCCCCAAGAGCTTCTCCAATAACTAGCAGGCCTGAGGAGACACTGCCACCTAATGGCCAGTGCCATGAACTATGTCTTGTGGCCCTGTTCCCACACCTCACCTTGGCTCCTCTACCTTCAAGATTGAGCCTCAGAAGGATTGTATGGACACAAATCACCTATTTTGTTTTTGTTTTTTTTGAGACAGAGTCTTCCTCTGTCGCCAGGCTGGAGTGCAGTGACGCAATCTTGGCTCACTGCAACCTCCGCCTCCTGAGTTCAAGCAATTCTCCTGCCTCAGCCTCCCGAGTACCTGGGACTATAGGCGTGTGCCACCACACCCAGCTAATTTTTTTTTTATATTTTTAGTAGAGACAGGGTTTCACCATGTTGGCCAGGATGGTCTCGATCTCCTGACCTCGTGATCCGCCTGCCTCGGCCTCCCAAAGTGCTGGGATTACAGGCGTGAGCCACCGCGGCCAGCCTACAAGTCACCATTTTGCCTATCTTGCTCTCATGAGTGATCCATCCCACACAATCTCTTATTCTGGCACTATCCATAGAACACTGTACCAAAAGAAATGTTCTCCACCTGCCCTTACCCAATACATATATCTGCCCTGTCAATACAGCAGCCACTAGCCAAATGTGGCTATTATTATAATGTGGTAAGGCCACAAAATAAGCATTCTTTAACTACATTAAAAGAAATACAGTCTTAATGCAGACTACTGAAATCTCACTTAATTCTAGTTGGAATGACTTTTCCAAGCATTATATTTTCTCCTTTCTTATTAAACTAATTATAAAATACTCTATATTTTAAAACTTCTGGGCCAGGCATGGTGGCTCATGCCTACAGTCCAAGCTATTCGGAAGGCTGCAGTGGGAGGATCACTTAAGCCCAGGAGTTCCAGTCTAGCCTGGGTAACACAGTGAGACCCAGTCTCTTAAATAAATAAATAAAGCCAGACATGGTGGCACACCCATAATCCCAGCATTTTGGGATTTTGGGAGGCCAAGGTGAGTGGCTCACTTGAGGCAAGGAGTTCTAGACCAGCCTGGCCAACAGGACGAAACCTCATCTCTACTAAAAATACAAAAATCAGCCAGACATGGTGGCAGATGCCTGTAATCCCAGCTACTCTGGACACTGAGGCACAAGAATCGCTTGAACCTGGGAGGTAGTGATCTGAGATCACACCACTGCACTCCAGCCAGGGTGACAGAGGAAGACTCTGTCTCAAAGGAAAAAAAAAACAAAAAACAAAAAAACTTCTCCCTATAATTCCACCACCCTAACACAACTATACAACTATTCTCATTACTTCATGTACCCTTCTAAATTTCATCTACACACACAGAGTCAGCTATATGAACTATCTAGGTACAATTTAATGTTCTACTTTTAAAATATCATTGTTTTATAAATATATCCCACAGTTCTACAGTTATATTTGTTATTTTAAGGGCTACAATATATTACATTGAATTAATGTGCTATAAATCATTTAATCACAGATGACTGGACCAAAGATTATAAATATCTTTATCCTTCATTAACCACTTTTAGAGCTACCCTGGCAAAAGGGATACAAAGGAGGTAAGGGTAAAGAAACATGTCACATGATGAAAAGCTGAAGCGCTTATAAATGGTTTAGCCTAACAAAGCCAAGAGCACACATAACGGTTGCTGTCAAATAGTTTAAGATACTATATGTAGGGTCAAAATAGTTTAAGTTGTGACAAACGGGCAGAACTAGGATCAATGAATAGAAATAAGAAAAGGGCAGTTTTCAGCCCAAAAACTAAAACTTTTCAAACTATCAAAATTATTCAACAAAGTAAACTACATAAAACACTAAGCTGTCCATCTGTGAAAGCATTAAAAAATAAGCTAGATAAGCACTTGACAGAGATAGTGCAGACTCTTAAATTGGTGGGAGGTAAGATTAGATAACCTCTCAGGTTTCCTTTCACTCAAATATTCAAATATTTATTAATCACCTAGCTAGTATAATCCTAGCAATGTGCTAGGTATACAAAAATGCACAGAACAGACCTGGTCCCTATGCATTTTGCACTTACAACCTAGTGTAGGAAATAGAGAAAAAGAAAAAAAAACAATTAAATAATTACAAATCATAAGTGCTATAAAGGAAAACGAAATGCTTTAGGAAAAATAACAAACTGGGCATCAAGTAAGGCCTCTCAGAGGGAGAATATTTTAAAGTTGTGGACTAAAGAAGAGTTAAGCTATGCAGAGAGTGCTCTGGCGCAGTGGAAAGCCACTTAATGTATAAACGAGCGTGATGCGATCTGATGTACTTTTTGTTATTATTATTACTTTTTGGAGACGGAATCTCGCTGTCACCCAGGCTGGAGTGCAGTGGCATGATATCGGCTCACTGCAACCTCCACTTCCCAGGTTCAAGCAATTCTCCTGCCTCAGCCTCCCAAGTAGCTGGGATTACAGGTGCCACCACCATGCCTGGCTAATTTTTGTATTTTGAATAGAGATGGGGTTTCACCATGTTAGCCAGGCTGGTCTTGAACTCCTGACCTCAGGTGATCCGCCTGCCTGGGCCTCACAAAGTGCTGGGATTACAGGCGTGAGCCACTGCACCTGGCCGATCTGATTTACATTTCTAAAAGATCATTCTGGCTGTTATGTGGAGAATGAATAGGAAAGAAGAAAATGTAGAAGCAGGAAAAAATCAGGTAGGAAAGTCGGTAGGAGTCCAGATGAGAAATAATGATAGACTAGGCTGGTTGAAGTAGATGGATAGAAAGGTACAAACAAGTTTCTTTCTTTCTTTTTGAAACAAGGTCTCTCTCTGTCGTCCCACTCTGGAGTACAGTGGGGTGATCATAGTTCGCTGCAGCCTCGACTTCCTGGGCTCAAGCAGTCCTCTCATCTCAGCCTCCCTAGTAGCTGGGACTACAGGCACATGCCACCACACCCAGCTAACTTTTTAATTTTTGTAGACGGGGGTGGGCGGGGGAGTGTGGTCTCAGTATGTTGCCCAGGCTGGTCTCGAACTCCGGAGCTCAAGTGACCCTCCTGCCTCCCCAAGTGCTGGGATTATAGGCGTGAACCACTGCACCCAGCCAATAGATGGGTTTCAAGATATATAGGGGAGAGAGAAACTACAGGACTCAGTGATGGGTTAAACTCAAAGGATAAAGTTAAAAGAGAAACCAAATAAGCTTCAGGTTTCTGGCTTGAACAATTAATGGGATTGTGCTGTCATTTTCTGCGACAGGAAGGTTTGTGGGAGGCATGGATGTGGATCAAAACAGGAATCCAACTTTAAGTCACCATGATTGTGTTTAGGCCCTTAATAGAAAGTTTCTACTAAAAATTACTCATGACTCATTCTTTGCTCTTTAAAAAGCAGTCTGTGGAAGGAGAAATACTATAAAGGTGACTGGGCCAATTGAAAAAAAAATTGGAATACAAATGGTAGATTAAACTATTGCGTCAATGTTAAATTTAGTGAAGTCCATACTGTACAATTTTTTTTTAAATCCCTATGACTGGGAAATACATGTTGAAGTATTTAGGAGATAAAGGGCCATAATATGCATATAAACATATATATACCTATTCATATATACATATATATGAAAGAGAGCAAATGGTAAGAAAATGGCAAAAAACATTAACAAGTAAATCTGGATAAAGAGTATTTAGATATTTTTTGTACTAATCTTGGTCTTGCAACATTTCTCTGAGTATAAAATTATTACCAAAAAAACCCAAAACTTTTTTTAAGACAGTCCCAGATTTCTCTTATTCATGCCAAATAATTCAAATTCCTTTAAACTCACCTCATATGTATCTCCCTCCTCAACCTACTCCATCATGTCTCATCCATTACACAGAGTAGTGGCCCCATCAGGGAGACAAGGAACATACACAACATACTCTATATAAATAAATGGCATAAGAAGTGAGGATTCTCCCTCGCCCTCGCCCTCGCCCTTGCCCTCTCCCTCTTCCTCTCCCCACGGTCTCCCTCTCCCTCTCTTTCCATGGTCTCCCTCTCCCTCTCTTTCCACGGTCTCCCTCTGATGCCGAGCCGAAGCTGGACTGTGCTGCCACCATCTCTGCTCACTGCAACCTCCCTGCCTGATTCTCCTGCCTCAGCCTGCCGAGTGCCTGCGATTGCAGGCGCGTGCCGCCACGCCTGACTGGTTTTCGTATTTTTTGGTGGAGACGGGGTTTCGCTGTGTTGGCCGGGCGGGTCTCCAGCTCCTAACCGCGAGTGATCCGCCAGCCTCGGCCTCCCGAGGTGCTGGGATTGCAGACGGAGTCTCCTTCACTCAATGCTCAATGTTGCCCAGGCTGGAGTGCAGTGGCGTGATCTCGGCTCTCTACAACCTCCACCTCCCAGCCGCCTGCCTTGGCCTCCCAAAGTGCCGAGATTGCAGCCTCTGCCCGGCCGCCACCCCATCTGGGAAGTGACGAGCGTCTCTGCCTGGCCGCCCATCGTTTGGGATACAAGGAGCCCCTCTGCCCGGCTGCCCAGTCTGGGAAGTGAGGAGTGCCTCTTCCCGGCCGCCATCCCACCTAGGAAGTGAGGAGCGTCTCTGCCCGGCCACCCATCATCTGAGATGTGGGGAGCACCTCTGCCCCGCCGCCCCGTCTGGGATGTGAGGAGCGCCTCTGCCCAGCCACGACCCCGTCTGGGAGGTGAGGAGCGTCTCTGTCCAGCCGCCCCGTCTGAGAAGGAGCCCCTCCGCCCGGCAGCCGCCCCGTCTGAGAAGTGAGGAGCCCCTCCGCCCAGCAGCCGCCCCGTCTGAGAAGTGAGGAGCCCCTCCGCCCGGCAGCCGCCCGTCTGGGAAGTCAGGAGCGTCTCCGCCCAGCAGCCACCCCATCCGGGAGGGAGGTGAGGGTCAGCCCCCGCCAGGCCAGCCGCCCCGTCCGCGAGGGAGGTGGGAGGCAGCCCCCGCCCGGCCAGCCGCCCCGTCCGGGAGGGAGGTGGGGGGTCAGCCCCCACCCGGCCAGCCACCCAGTCCGGGAGGGAGGTGGGGGGTCAGCCCCCGCCCGGCCAGCCGACCCGTCCGGGAGGGAGGTGGGGGGTCAGCACCCCCCCTCCCCGGCCAGCCGCCCCGTCCGGGAGGTGGGGGGGCACCTCTGCCCGGCCGCCCCTTCTGGGAAGTGAGGAGCCCCTGTGCCTGGCCACCACCCCGTCTAGGAGGTGTACCCAACAGCTCATTGAGAACAGGCCATGATGACGATGGTTTTGTCAAATAGAAAAGGGGGAAAGGTGGGGAAAAGTTAGAGAAATCAGATTGTTGCTGTGTCTGTGTGGAAGGAAGTAGACATGGGAGACTTCATTTTGTTCTGTACTAAGAAAAATTATTCTGCCTTGGGATGCTGTTGATCTATGACCTTACCCGCAACCATGTGCCCTCTGAAACATGTGCTGTGTCCACTCAGGGTTAAATGGATTAAGGGCGGTGCAAGATGTGCTTTGTTAAACAGATGCTTGAAGGCAGCATGCTCGCTAAGAGTCATCACCACTCCCTAATCTCAAGTACCCAGGGACACAAACACTGCGGAAGGCCACAGGGTCCTCTGCCTAGGAAAACCAGAGACCTTTGTTCACTTGTTTATCTGCTGACCTTCCCTCCACTATTGTCCTATGACCCTGCCAAATCCCCCTCTGCGAGAAACACCCAAGAATGATCAATAAAATAAACAAATAAATAAATAAATATATATATATATATAAAAAAAAAGAAATGAGGATTGCCAAGAGGCTTCTTGCAATCTTCCATCTCCCATGAAGTAGCATGTGCTCTCTGAAATGTACTATGTCCTGATCTGTAACAGATGGCTGGATGATAGACTCCTTTCAGTTCTGGATCTACTCTTCTCATGTAATATATAGCAATAAATCTACCAAATTAGCATGATCATGTGATATCTGCAGATTAGATGTTCCTCCTACATATGCCCATGGTTTAGCTGGGTATCCCTAGGTATAGCAATTATTACACTATTTTATTTTTAAAATCATGTTTTCCTGTGTTCTACTTTCTCCACTAGACTGAGACCTCCTTGAAGACAAGCAGCACAAAATATTTAGTTTTTTTTTTTTTAATTCCTAAAGATTATTCTAATACATGGCTGGGTGCGGTGGCTCACGCCTGTAATCCCAGCACTTTGGGAGGCCAAGGTAGGCGGATCACCTGAGGTCGGGAATTCAAGACCAGCCTGACCAACATAGAGAAACCCCGTCTCTACTAAAAGTACAAAATTAGCCAGGCGAGGTGGTGCATGCCTGTAATCCCAGCTACTCGGGAGGCTGAGGCAGAAGAATCGCTTGAACCCGGGAGGCAGAGGTTGCGGTGAGCCGAGATTGCGCCACTGCACTCTAGCCTGGGCAACAAGAGTGAAACTCCGTCTCAAAAAAGATTATTCTAATACATAAAAAGACACTTAATAAAAGCTATTGGGTGAAGAAATAAATATCACTGAAAAATCTTTCTTATGATTGCAGCTCTACTAAACATTACTTTTTTTGCCCTTGGATACAGCAGTATGTAGAAAGTCTTACTCTAATTCAATAGCAAAGGAGACATAACTTCTAGGGGTTGCTGACAAACAAGTGAAAATGCCTATGACCTTATACACAATCCCAAAATCTTGTTTACTTCAATAATTATCATTATAATTTTATAAAATATGATTAATAAAAAGTAAAATATCTTGGGCCTGAGTCTCAACCACACCTTAAAATTAAAGTACATTATATTTAACCCACAGTTCAATTGGTCAATACAACGTAAGGAACACTTCAGTGACAAGAAAACATGTCATAATCTAGACCTTTGTTCTCTATTATAAAATAATCTAAGTAAAATTATGTAAGGTAAGAACATTCAACTGAGTAAACAAATTAAAATCTAATCATTTTACTGGGAAAGGGCAGTTTTTCAAATGCCACAACGAAACTTGCCAAATAGAAGAGTACTCAACAAGAATGTACATAAAGTACTCCAAAAACAAAACTGTGTAAATAGACATGTATCTTTATCCAAAATGATTAGATGGTAACATTCAAAATGTCCCAGTACCAAATGTCAAAATACTAAATGCTTTTAAAGTATGTTTCTGAGTTGTATTAAGAGGAGGAAAATACAATGTTTCTTACTCAGCTAGGTATCCTGTCCATATTCTTGCTGTCAATTCTCCTAGTTCCCTTAAGATCTCCCCAACTCATGGAATATAATGCACGTGATAATTTGCAATAGTTCTCAAACCCGTCCTGTCCTCTCCTCATTTCTTAATCTAGAATCTTACTAGCTAGTATTCTAGCACAGGCCTACTTAATTTTCCGCCTTCAGTTTCTTCCCCTTCAATCCATTTTTTACACTTTTCCTGAGATTAGTATTCAAAATTCTAATTCCGATCATATCACTCTTCAATTTTAAAATCCTTCAATAACTCTCTGAAGTACAAATACCTAAAAACAGCAGCTGATATTTATTAAGTACTTGTGTGCCAGGTACAAATGTTACCTAATTTAAACCTCACAATCCTACAGTGTAGATATTTTTATTATTCTCATTTTGCACATTTAAGGAAATTGAAACTTAGGGAAATCACATATAGACACATAGCTAGTGAGTGCGTGCAGCTAAAATTACCCAAGCCTTCGAATTGCGGCTTTGGTATTCCTTTACAGCTGCTCCCTCTCACCACTAACCAACAAACCCTGCCTTCCAACCACACCAAACCACCTCAAGATCTGTAATCATAAGATGCTCTTTCAGGACTCCTTACCAAAGTGCACACTACTCCCTTGACTCAAAATGCCACTTGTCCACCGTGGGAATTCTCTCCAAAGCATTCTTCCTTTCTTTCCCACCTTCCCTAGGGAAAATCCTCTGGACAGAATAACATAAGCCAAAATGATACATACATCCCACTATCAACTTCAAAATGCTATAATACAGAGTACTCAAATAGATTTTCCAAGGTAATGTCCATGTGACAATCTAATGCCAGCCTCATAAACCCCTAAATTCATCAGAGGTAAATAAAGATCAACAATAAAGAAACATATATTCAAAAGATAACATTAAAAAAGAAAAAAATAAAGCAACAGCAAAAACTAACAAAAAAAAAACCTTTAATACTTTTGTAAAATATTCACAAAATATAAATTCAGATATTTTGAAATATGTGCAAAATACATTTAGAATGAGAGAATCTTAAGTTTTAAAGTAGAAAATACTGCAAATCTGGACTTTTCTTTGACGGCACAAATAAGACAAATCCTATCTAAGATCTACTATTAGCAAACCAAAAAAAATTTCAAGAGACTAAAGGGCTCTTCTATGACTATGTCTGGGGTCAAAAAATAATTCTTCAATACTAAACAGCTTGTGCTTATGAAACATATTAAATGATGCAGAGGTACAGTGATTAAGTTACCACATCTCAAGCATCAGCATATTATGCCAGTATCTTCCAGGAACATGACACATTGATATCAGGAGCTTCTCCTGGGTATTAACTGACAATTAAACAGCATCTTCACAGTACTAGTCAAATACATTAGGTTACAATTCCACACACTAATACTCAAATTTTGTCTATTCCAGTCTCAAGATCTTCCTGTAGTTAACTGCTCTTTTACTGTCATGTGGATAAATAAGCACCAAACGTTACCTGCAAACTTTTAATCTCTTTTCTAGCCCATTAATAAAATGTCTACAAGATCCTTTCTGGCACATATCCCAGCCAGAGCCGTTTCCATACAACTTTTCTTGCCTTTTCCCTGTAATACTAACACATCATCTTCTTAAGCCTTAAGTAAATTTTTTGTAAAAAGTAAAAATTACTTCATAACAACATCATCTAATTGAGATATTTAGGAAATCGACCTTTAATGGATACAGAATAATCAGTCCATGGTTTAAGCACTATTCTAGGGTGGTCAACTCAAAACTATATTTTGTGTTTGGCGTTCCTACTGGCTATAACCAAAATGCATTTCCTGAATACTTGTTTTGTATAATACCCAGGACCAGGTAGAGTACTTACACTGACGGGGCTTCTTATAGTGGTCTACTCTAGATATTAGACCTAGCCCAAGGAAACAGTAAAGACAATGAAGAGAGAAGAGATACCTCACAAAGACTTGACAACAAATGGAAAATGAGAGATAAGAGAAGTCTGGACTACTCCCAGGTTTATACTTTGGGCACCTGAATGACTGGCAGTATCATTAACTAAGATGGGAAAATTAGCTGACTACATGAACAAGAGACAGTAAAGACAGCTGGAAAAGAATAGGTATGAACAAGAAACAGGGCCAGGCATAATGGCTTACACCTGTAATCCCACCACTTTGGGAGGCCAAGGGGGCCGTTTGAGGTTAGGAGTTCGAGACCAGCCTGGCCAACATGGTAAACCCCGGACTCTACTAAAAATACAAAAATAAGCTGAGTGTAGTGGCAGGTGCCTGTTATCCTAGCTACTTGGGAGGCTGAAGCAGGAGAATTGCTTGAACCCGGGAGGCAGAGGTTGCAGTGAGCAGAGATCACACCACTGCACTGGGCGACAGAGCGAGACTCCATCTCAAAAGAAAAAAGAAAGAGAAAGAGAAACAGGAGAACGATGCTTTGGAAGGCAAAGAAAGTTCAAGAACATGGGCATGATGGTCTAAGGTTCACAGTGGATTTAACAATTAAGAACTATGTCAACAGATAGATACAGTTTCTGTGAACAGAGGAAGCAAAAGTAAAATGTTGCGGGGGAATGAGTAGTACACAACGCAAAAAAAAAGAATGTGTGAAGTGTGTTTGGAACAGAATGTAGAAGGTTTTGCTGCATGAAAGGTTCATGTAGCAGAAGACAAGAAAAGGAAGTCTGAGTCAAGGGCTTTGAATTCTAGATTTTATTTTTGGAGTTTATTCTGTGAACAGGAGAAGGAAAGGCATGTAACATTTTTTTCCCCCTTTTTAAGACAATTTTCTCAAAATGTCTGAGAAAATTGGATGACAGGGTACATGACAGGGTACATGAGGAACTGGAATGACAAGAGTTAAGGCAGGAGTAGCTACTAAAAGGTCTTACAATTATCTAAACAGTAATGAGGACCCGAAAGAGATTGGCAGTAGCCAAAGTAAAAAATAAGGAATATGTGACAGAGATATTCTTTATTCCCAGGCTGCCTGTGATACTGTGATATGATATCATATCCCATACACATTTGGTCTCTGCCCCTGGTTCCTGACACATAGCTCCTAAAACCCATGGAATCTCCAGAGTGATGAGTGTCTTTTGTATGCTAATGAGGACTGCTAGCTGGGGAGCCCTAGTTAACCTCAGGATGGAAGCTGGTTACCAGAAAGACCAGAGCATGAGTACAGGTTGGGACTTTTCAGCCCCATCCCCCAACCTCCAGGGGGGGGAAGGGGACTGAAGGCTGAGTTGATCACCAATGGCCAATGATGTAATCAATCATACCTATGTAATAAAACCTCCACAAAAGGCCAAAAGGACAGGGTTCAGAGAGCTGAATACGTGGAGATATCTGGAGAGTGGTACACCCAGAGAGGACAGAGAAGCTCCATGCCCCTTTCCATGACCTACCCTATTCATCTCTTCCATCTGGCTGTTCATCTATATTTCTTAAAATATGCTGTTTAATAAATGGGCAAACATAAGTGAAGTGTTTCCCTAAGTTCTATGAGCTGCTCTAGCAAATTAACTGAACCCAAGAAGGGGGTCATGGGAACCCC
Organism: Homo sapiens; assembly: GCF_000001405.40. NCBI lineage: Eukaryota > Metazoa > Chordata > Mammalia > Primates > Hominidae > Homo > Homo sapiens. Next base: position 84,341,733 of record NC_000010.11, on the reverse strand, counting down.
AATTTATGGCTGGTCATAGACACAGGTCACAACCTGGAGCATGCATCTGAAGTGGTGGGGGGGATGGCGCCATCTTGTGGGACTGAGACCTTATCCTACAGCATTTAACACTATCTACAGGTAGACAGTGTTAGATTGGAACTAAATCATAGGGCAACCAGCTGTTCTTCACTGGAGTCTATGGTGTCAGAATTGCTTGGTGTCCAGCAAAACAATCTCCATACATTTAGTGTAAGAGGTGCTGTGTGGCCAAGTGCTATGTGGCTCACTCTTGTAATCCCAGCACTTTGAGAGGTCGAAGCAGAAGGATCACTTGAGGCTAGGAGTTTGAGACCAGCCCAGGCAAGATAGCAAAACTCCGCCTCTAAAAAAAAAAAAAAAAAAAAAAAAGAGTTACAAAGGCCAGGTGCAGTGGCTTGTGCCTGTAATTCTAACACTTTGGGAGGCCAAGGTGGGAAGATCCTAGAGGCCAGGAGTTTGAGACAAGCCTGGGCAACTTGGCAAAACCCCACCTCTACATAAAAATGTTTAAAAATTAGCTGGGCATGGTGGCACACGCTTGTAGTCCCAGCTACTCGGGAGGGCACATCACTTGAGTCCAGGAGGTTAAGGCTACAGTGACCTATAATCAAGCCACTGCACGCCAGCCTGGGTGACAGAACAAGACACTGTCTCAAAAAAAAAAAAAAAAAAAAAGTGTTACATTGAGTGGTACATGAGAGTAGGAAAAACACTGTTTTTCTTTCCTATCTTCTAATAGTGCCCTAAATATTCCACTATTACTGTATTACCATACTTATCACATTGTATCATAATCATTTGTGGACTCGGACCTTCTCTTGTTCAGCCTCTTATTACTAACACTAACAAGTCGGGAACACAGGAAGTGGCCAAAAAACGTTTGTTGAACTCAGTAACTCATCAGATGTAGAAGTAAGACCTACAGATACTACAGAGAAACCTAAATAACTTGTAAGATGGTGACAGAGAAAACACTAATGGAGAAGCCAAGAGGGGGATCAAGTTTAGGGGATGAGTGTCAGGGTAAGAGGATGGTTAAGGTCAACATCCAAATAGAGACGTCAAAGAGGAAAAAAAAAAACCAGAGAAGGAAAAAAATTCAGACAAAAATAGAGATATGGGATAGAAAATAAATCATCAACAAGTCTCATTATTTGCTCATGAAAAGAAATATTTAATAAATATGAATTTCCTAAGACTTTAGGATATGACTGTGTTTAAGAACACTATTCGAATTGCTTATGTATATTCTGTACAAATTGAATGGCGTAAATTCCCAACCAAATGGGTCAATCAAAACTGGGTCAACATTGGATAATTATTTGCTTTACTCATTCATTCAACAAAAAATTTATTGAGTGTCTATAAGTGGGGGCAAGAGAGCAACCTGTCACGAAAACAAACAGTAAAATACAGCAAATACTATAACAAAAAAACCTCATAATGTTAACAGGAACACAAGTAACAGAATATAATGAAGGACAGATGGAAGAGGCATAATGAACATATGTCTAGCAGCTTTCCTGGAAGAAGAGGCATCTATGTTGGGCTCTTAAAAAGATAAAGTGATGGCCAGGTGCAGTGGCTCACACCTGTAATCCCAGCACTTTGGGAGGCCGAGGCAGGAGGATCACCTGAGGTCAGGAATTCAAGACCAGCCTGGCCAACATAGTGAAACCCCGCCTCTGCTAAAAATATAAAAAATTAGCCGGGCGTGGTGGCATGCACCTGTAATCCCAGCTACTCGGGAAGCTGAGTCAGGAGAATTGCTTGAACCTGGGAGGCGGAGGCTGCTGTGAGCAGAGATTGTGCCTTTGCACTCCAGACTGGGCGACAAGAGTGAAACTCCGTCTCAAAAAAATAAAAAAATAAAAAAGATAAAGTGATTTAATGAGAAGGCTGAGAAGATGAATGGTATTCTACAAAAAAAGAAATAGTGGCCAGGCACGGTAGCTCATGCCTGTAATCCCAGCACTTTGGGAGGCCAAGGCGGGCATATCACCTGAGGTTGGGAGTTCGAGACCAGCCTGACCAACATGGAGAAACCTCGTCTCTACTAAAAATACAAAACCAGCCAGGCGTGGTGGCGCATGCCTGTAATCCCAGCTACTTGGGAGGCTGAGGCAGGATAATCACTTGAACCCGGGAGACAGAGGTTGCGGTGAGCCAAGATCACGCCATTGCACTCCAGCCTGGGCAACAAGAGTAAAACTCCGTCTCAAAAAATAAAAAATAAATTTAAAAAAAAAAAAAGTAATAGTATGTGCAAAAGCAGAGAGATGTCAAAGCATTTCTCATTTTCATGGAATCTCCTCTTGGAGTACTATCTGTATGCTAATAAAAAATCTGATCTTTACTCTGTAGTCCTATGGTAAGAAACATCACATGTGCATTAGAATCCCCTGGAGAGGCTGGGCACAGTGGCTCACGCCTATAATTCCAGCACTTTGGGAGGCCAAGGTGGGAAAATTGCTTGACACTAGGAGTTCAAGACCAGCCTGGCCAACACAGCAAGACACCCTAGGGAGCACTCCAGATCCCCTAAAGCATGTGCAGGCAAAAGGTAGGTAAACAGGCAAAAAAAAAAACAAAAAAAAAAGAAAAGAAAAGAAAAAATTAACTTCTGTAGAGAATAGGGAGCCACAGAAGATTTTTTTTTAGCAAAAACAGAACCTGGTCAGATCTGTGTTTCGGAAATCCAAAACTTGGGGCATGGATCAGTGGCTAAGGGAAGAAAATCTGGAGAAAGACCAATGAAGAGGGTTAAGAAGCAACTGTAATGATGCTCCAACACTAAATATTGACTACTATTTACTTAAACATAAATGAACCACGAAAAGAGGCATATAAAGTGCTATAACTGTAATATGTGCTTTCAACACAGTTTCTGAATTCATCTCAAACATCAACTCAATAATCATAAGCAGTTACAGTAAAATGAGATCAGGTACATTAGGAAAAAAAGGGGTGGTAGAGAAGAGTAGCTGTCAAAATTTCCCTGGAAAAGTTGCTCATTTGTTCTGCAATTTAACTTTTATTTTTAAAAAGGTAAAACTACCATAACAAATAGGTTGCTAAATCAAAATTTTGAAGCTACTACAAGGCAAGCACTGCACAAAACTGCAGTACAGTCCATCATGATGATGATGATGGACCTTGAGTGCACAGATGAGGATAAAGTTAATTTCATTTACGTTTCAACGACGTAGATCCTGCATTTTTTTTCTCTGTTGAAACATTTTGTTAACTACATATATTTGTATTGTGAAAGTAAAAACTTGGGACCCTAATTTCACTATGCCAAAAGAAAAAAAAGTAAGCTGGAAGCTGAGTCACAAAAGAAGCTGCTTTTCCTTTTGTTTTTTGTTGGGGTTTTTTTGGTTTGTTGTTTTTGGGGTTTTTTTTTGTTTTTTTTTTTTTTAAGTTTTTCTTTGGAGTTTCTGTCTTGTTGCCCAGGCTGGAGTGCAATGACGTGATCTCGGCTCACTGCAACCTCTGCCTCCCGGGTTCAAGCAATTCTCCTGCCTCAACTCAGCTTCCCAAGTAGCTGGGATTACAGGCATGCACCACCATGCCCGGCTAATTCTGTATTTTAGTAGAGATGGGGTTTCACCATGTTGGTCATGCTGGTCTCGAACTCCTGACCTCAGGTGATCCAACTGCCTCAGCCTCCCAAAGTACTGAGATTACAGGCTGAGCCACCGTGCCCAGCCCCCTCTCCTTTTGTTTCTAAGCTGATAGCTACAGATAAAAAGTTAAATGTGTCCACGGGTAACTACTCAGTGTTCACCTTAACAAATACATAACCAACTATTCCCCTACCTGCTCCTTTTCCTTCGCAACATGTGGATTCAGTAATGTGATAATACCCTCTCTCCTGCCCCTCCAGCCTGCTTTTTCCATTTAAATACCGAAGCCCTCAAAATCATCTTTGGAGAAAGACAGACTTGTCTCCCTGGCATGCATCCTTAACCTTGGCAAAATAAACTTCTAAATTGATTGAGACCTGTCTCAGATACTTTTTGGTTTACAGTATGTAAATAAGAATACAAAAAAAGAAGAGCATCCATCTTTTAAAAAACAATTCCTTGACTGGACATCCCCTCCAGCTACCACCCTGTTATTTAGCTTTACTTTACAGCATACTCCTTGAAGAAACTGTCTATCCCAGCAGTCTACAATTCCTTTCCTCCAATTCTCTCTTAAGCCCACTCCAATCAAGTCTTCACTTCCACCACTAAACCAGAAACAACTTGTTAAGGTCACCAATGATTTTCATATTGCTTTATCTTAGTCCTCAATCTAATAGCATCTGACACAGCTGATTACTCACTCGCTCCTTCTTACAACATTTCACTTGGCTTCACTGATACAACTCAGTCTTAATTCTCTTCCTTCTTTATAGGCGTGCGGCTTCTTGGTCTCCTCTGCTAGTTTCTCTCCCTCTGAAAACATTACAGGATCCCAAGGCTAACTTGTGGGACTTCTCCAGCCACATTCACTCCCTAAATTATTTTAATCCATTCTCGAGGCATTACATACTATCTCTCTGCTAATAACTGCAAATTTATATATCTCTAACCCAGACCTCTGCTGTGAACTGCAGACTTGTGCATACCCAGCTCTCTTCACCATATCTCCACTCAGATTACTAACTTAAAATGTCCAAAACTGAACTCGTTACTTCCCCCGCTAAAACCCTGCTTCTTCTGCGCTCTTACCCATCTCAGGAAATGTTAACTCCATTTGTCCAGTTTTTCAGGCCAAACTCAGCCCACATTCAATCCATCATTAAATTGTTGGCTCTGGCTTCAAAATGTATACAAAATGTGGGCACTTCTCCCAATCCCTGCCTAAAATCATCATCTCCCACTTAGGATTACTGCTGCGCCTGCTAAATAATCTCATTATGCGCCACCCCTACATAGCAGCTGAGAGTTCTACTTATAACAAGTCAAAACTCTGGTGGCTCCCCACCTTTTAAAAGCCAGTCTCACTGGCCTACAATGCCATATATGATCAGGCATATCCCCCCAACCCAACCCACCTCTCTGACCTCATCTACCAATCATTTCCCCTCAATGCCTGCACTGGCCTACTTGCCACTCCTAGAACAGGTCAAGCAAGCTTCAGCCACAGGATCTTTGTATTCCAGTTCTATCTTCATCAAGTACTCTCTCTCTCCTAATATCTGCATAGATCACATTCTTTCTTCAAGATCTCTGTTCAAATACTAGTTTTTATTACAGCCTTCCCTAACCACCTTAGATAAAACAGCAGCATCACCCTCACATGTTCTTTTCACCTCTTCCTGCTTTTTCTCCACAGCAATGTAATAGATGACATATTACACATATACTTATTTTCTGTATCTTGTCATTAGAATGTAAGCTCCACAAAGGCAGAAAATTTGTTTTGTTGACTGAACTATTCCTAGCAAGTGCTCGGAATACATTTCTTGAATGAATGAATGAGAAAAATCCAGACTGAGAATCTATTCTCTAAGCCAGGATTGAAGGAATTTAGAATGTAAAACATCTCAAGTCCTGGAAAAACATGACTGCAAGAAAGGCCACAACAATGGCCAAGTCTACATCTCTAGCTAGTACCAATAATAAATAAAGGTTGACAAGCCATACCATACTACTCCTAAAATGAGGAAAATATACCTGAGAAAAAATTTTAAATAAGGAAAAGAAACAAAACAAAACAGAAAGATGGCCATCCCTGCCTCCCCACCCCGAAAAGAAATATCACCTGGATGTTTCCTATAAAGTGGCCTACCAACTCTGACCAAAATATCATCAAGTCCATTCTACAGACTTAAATAGCTATTATGAATAGTCCCTGTTTTTCTAAGCTAAGATCTTCAGAGAAAATTATTATATAACTCCCAACCCTAACACTGGCTGCCAAGAGATAATGGTCAGAGAAAGCTCTCAAATTGCCCTAAAGCACTCAGGCTGCAACGAAATATCATTAATATGATGACAACAACAATTCAAAGTACCTTCTGGTATCTGTCTTGCTTCTTTGTCCCTAGCGTATTCACTAGGGCCTTCGTCATCAAAGGTTTTGCAATCTTGACATGGGGGCAGTGTTGGGGAGGAGGGTAGGCAACTCAAAAAAACAGGACTGGAATTTAATTTTGCATTTTAAAGAAAAGCAGGGCCAGTTGTGGTGGCTCACACCTGTAATCCCAGCACTTTGGGAGGTAAAAGCAGGAGGGTCATTTGAGCCCAGGAGTTTCAGCCCAGCCTGGGTAACATGGGGAGACCCTGTCTCTATGGAAAATTTTTAAAATTAGCCAGGCATGGTGGTACATGCCTGTAGTCCCAGCTACAGGTTGAGTACAGGTTGGGAAGCCAAGGCAGGAGGATAGCTAGAGCCCAGGAGGTCAAGGCTGCAGTGAGCCATGATGACACCACTGCACTCCAGCCTGGGTCCAGAGACCCTGTCTCAAAAAAAAAAAAAAAAAAAAAAAGAGAGAGAGAGAAGTAGAATGCTGGGGAACAGAAAACACTTGCTCAGATACAAGATGTCACTGGGCTTTTCAATACCAGGCACCAAAAGAGAGATCACAGAAGGACCAAAACCCTGAGATGCCCATCGTTCCTCAGCTAAAGAGCCATGCCTTGCATTTCTATTCTCACACACAGAACTCAAGATACAGGGTAGGAGACCATGCCAAAGTGAACAGCTGGGAGCAGCGATGGCAGGGAGGAGAGCAGTAACAACTACCATAACAAAGGGAAGGAAGGAGTAATCCCTCATGCTTTTTCTCTTTTCCCTTTCCCACTGTCCTTATCAAGGACAGAAACAGGGTAGATGAAAACAGGAGAAGGCAGAGAACAGAGGGTAAGGATGGCCTGAAGCAAATGGTTGTAGAAAAAAATCAATAGCAAATTCCTTTACCAAGTAACTCTTTGAAAAACAGACATATGAAGTAAGTTAGGAGCTGACCAAGAAAATTTAAAACAAGCCCCTGTCTTACGTAGCTATAAAGTACAAAGAAAACAGAGATTCTTAATTATTTGGAATAATCTGTGGCATTTTTAAGACCAACAGTCTTCAAAGATGATCCAACTATACTGAAACTAAGCTACTGATCAACTTGAAAAAATAAACAGGTAAAAAACTTCAGTGCTCATGGATCCAACCTTTAAGAATCCTCTGGCTTCCCAATGGCTCCAAACCTTAATATAATCAACCAGAAGTCTTTAAAGGTAGAGAAGTAACTCTAGGACATTCCAAACCAATCAACTCATCAGAGAAGAGCTAAAAACTCAGAAATTACATCTCACATACTATGATTGGTCAATTCACTTAAAAAGAAAGGACTGTTCTCATTGGTTGATCTCAATAGGCTGAATCACACCCCAGCATCAGCACCTGTAGCAAGCAGAAGTCAGAAGCCAAAGAGGCAGAAAGCCATCAGATACTCAGAGAAAACTTAAGTAGTCAATAACAACGGAAAGACAAGTTCACCCTATACAACCACAATCAGCTTATGACAGCAGGGCACACCAACCACAACTGTTTGTAGCCTGAGGTGGCAGCATTCTACATGCTCATGTCTGTGCTAATACTTCCCTACCCCTCTGCCTCCTCCCTGATGGCTCTTCCCCCATCCTCCCTGACAGCTGTCACATTCTAGAGCTACTCTTCCTCCACCCACTCTTTCATTTTGGTAATTTGGTGTTTCCCAGTTCAGTCTCTTGACCTTTCTGTATTATTTCATCCTATATTCACTCATTCCTCTACTCAGTCCCTATCTTTGACAAGCACACAATCCAGTGGGGGAGACAGATATGTTACTAGAATAGGTACAATACATCACAGTCAACGCTGTGAAAGAAATATAACAAAGTGCTGTGAGCACATATTCATCTGTCATTACCCCACTCAATGTCTTCCAAATCAATACACTGCCTTCCCACTCTGTTGTGTATCAGTTACTAATTCCTATATATTTCCAAAATATCCCGATCTCCACTTCCACCTCAAGGTTTAGCCTTCATTTCTCACATGAATATTTCAACCACTTCCTATTATAAACATAATTCAATATATAGCCACATTGTCACATGAGCAATCTCCCTAAAAGAGATAACATACCATATCATCCCCTTGCTTTGCAACACCTAATCTTTCCAATGTCTAAGAAATGAAGTCCAAATCCTTGGCATGGATAATAAGATAATACTTTTGAAATAGCATCTTTTAAAAGCAGGCTGACTGAGTTCCAGTTCCAATGCTTACTACCTATGTTATCCTTGGCAGGTCACAGTCTCTATATTTTCATATCCACAAAATGAGGATACTAAAAGAACCTACCTCCTAGGGTTGCTGTGAAGATTAGGTAAGAAACTCCATGCCAAGAACCAGCAAAACACCCAGCACTCAATGTTAACTATTATCCTGGGATGTCTCATCTATCTAGAATGGGAGTAACCTGCTCCCCAGTGGGAGCAGATTACTAAGGTTTCCTTTCATATATTTTAGAATGATTAGCAATAAGAGTTAAAGACAACCCTCTGGTTAATCTTGAACAGACAAAAATTTCAATTAACCAATATATTGCTGTCATAAAAATGTTAGTTTAACTAAAACTTACCATAATTTATTAAAAAACAAGTACACATTTGTATTAAAGTTAGGTTATTTTGTTTTCCTATTTAAGTTCAGAAAAAAGAATGAAAACATAATAATGTAGTTTTCTATAATATAAAATACACATAAATGAAATTTTATCTCAGTTGTATATTAACTTTCCAAATATATATACATAACAAAATGAATTCTAGAAGCTTAAGAAAATAAAAGTATGCATCAAACAGGTACATGGCATTCATTCTCAAAAAACACAATCAAAGGACAAAAATCACTGACTTTTTTCTTTTATCTTTTTTCTTTAAAATAGAGATGGGGGTCTCACTATGTTAACAGCCCAGGCTGGTCTTGAACTCCTAGGCTCAAGCGATTCTCCCGCCTCACCCTCCCAAAGTGCTGAGATTACAGGTGTGATCCACCACACCCAGCCACACTGATTTTTTAAAAAAATATATAATATAGGGATTACCCCATCTCTATTAAAAATACAAAAATTAGGCAGGCGTGGTGGCGCGTGCCTGTAGTCCCAGCTACTGGGGAGGCTGAGGCAAGAGAATCGCTTGAACCCAGGAGGCAGAGGTTGCAGTGAGCCGAGATGGCACCGCTGCACTCCAGCCTGGCAACAGAGCAAGACTCTGTCTCAAAAAAAAAAAAAAAAAAAAATATATATATATATATATATATATAAAAAAATAAATTTAATAATATAAAATCTATAAAGCCTACAATAAGAAAAAATAGATCAGAAATGTTTTTCAAGAGATTAATATATTTATGATGTTAGTGCTAATGAAAATTGGTGAGAAGATTCCAATAAATTTATGGACGATGGACAAATAAAGGAGAAAATAAAACTAGAAGAATACTGCATTTGCTTGTCTATTATGGACTATGATGTTAAACTGCAAGGAACCTTATCCTCATTTTTAAAAAACAAACTTTTAAAAGCAAAAACCTATAAAGTATGATAGAAATGGTCAACCAAACTCTACTGGAGTCTGTAAATCAATATCTTTTAGAAGTAAATCTAGTAATATTTTTCAGAATTAACAAAACCTTCATACCCTCTGACTTTGTAATACTGCTCCTGGGCCTTTAGCCCAAAGGGAAGAAGCAAAATGATAAACAGCTATATACTAACGGCATTATCTGCAAAATAGTAAACAATCTAGATGTCCAATTATTAAGAAATGACATTGTAACACTGTATAATCATCTAAAGGTATAAAAACTATAGCAAAAATAAAACATCAAATATGAAAGCAAATATTAAGCATTATGTGTATGCTTTATCATATAAAACCACTGATATGACAAGAAATAAGAAGAAAAATTAAGTTTGTTTTGATTTTTAAAATTTCTTTGACCATTGTTTGTAAGATAAAAAGCCTTTTGGAATTGGTCAGGCCCACACCACTAAGTACACATTTCAACTTTTTAGAGACAGCCACAATCATCAATTTTTTCCCCCAAAATCCTATCACATAGGAGTAAGATAGGCTCCTCTCACAGACAAGCCACACAAGTAATTTTAGCCATGCTATTAGCCAGCTGCAACCTTCTTATATTAAAATCTCATTGTACCATCAAAACTTAACTGTATGTGAGATGTCCATATGGTGATCAGAAGCCACTTGTTATGGGGCATCTGGAGAGAGCGCCCCAAGCACTGAAGTTAAAACTATCTGGCTGAGAGGAATAGTGAAGGTTAGGTTTCTCCCATATCCCCAAATGAATTATCATGTTTCTCAGCCACAAGGGTTCTAAGTCCCTAGGAGTGGCAGCCATGTATTCAAAGAGGGAGAAAGTGCAAGCAGATTTGCACTCCCTCTGAAAAACTGGCAGCTCCTTCATTTCACCCCAAAGCACCATGGAGTAGTGAAAAACACACAATGATGAGGTCAGGAGATATGAGATGTAGGTGAGCCTAAGCAATCTCAAACAAGTTGTCTTTTTAGGCTGAGTTGTTTAACCGTAAAATTTTTAAAGTTGAACCAAATAATCTGTTAATTCTTTCAAGTTCAATATTCTATTGACCCTTTTTTCAGAACACATCCAAGTCGCTCACAACTCCCATTCAAATTGTAAAACAATTAAGATTTAGAATTAGGAGACTGGGGGCAAAAGTGAAATACACAGATGGTCAAAAGACCTGGACTGTAATCCCCGCCATCCCTTTCTACCTGCGTGACTTTGCGCCTCAAAATAAAGTTGTAGGACCAATGAAGCAGCAATCTTTATTGGTCATGCCCTTTTTATTCCTGTATCATAAAATGGATTTTTTTTAACATAACTGGGGTTTCATTCCTAACCAGCCTACAATCCCAGCACTTTGGGAGGCCGAGGTGGGCGGATCACGAGGTCAGGAGTTTGAGACCAGTCTGGCCAACATACTGAAACCCGTCTCTACTAAAAAAAAATTAGCCAGGTGTGGTGGTGTGTGCCTATAATTCCAGCTACTCAGGAGGCTGAGGCAAGAGAATCGCATGAACCCAGGAAGCAGAAGTTGCAGTGAGCCGAGATGAGGCCATTGCACTCCAGCCCAGGCCACAGTGCAAGACTCTGTCTCAAAAAACACAAAAGAAACCCCAAAACCTGGTGGAGACAGACACATAAACAAATCATTAACTACCAGTTGACAAATACTAACTGGAGAGTGTACGAATCAGTTAAGACAAGAGGGATGAAATGTCTAGACAAGCCTCAGAAGTGCTACTTTCGTAAGGTCTTCAAGGGCAAGTTGTTTACTAGGTAGAGAATTCTCAACAAAGAACACTGAAAAACCACAGAGGAAGATGTCATCTTCAGAGAACTGCAACAGTCTTATATAGAGAGGGCAGGCATAATGGTAGAAGATGACACTAGAATGGAGACAAATACCGCTAATCATGAAGGACTTTGAATTTTATCGATATAGACTATGGAGAGTCACTGAAGGACTTGTAAATATGGATTCAAAGTCCCTTCCTCCAAAATAGTCAAAGGAGTTGAGTCAAAGCAACAAAAAATGCAGGTCTGAATGTGGAAAGGTAGAATTTTTACAGAATTCTTAATAGAGACTTTCGGCTTGCTTTCAGGATGGCTTCTAGTGCTTTCTTAACTATGGCTTATGCTGAAGTACGACAGTATGAATTATGGCTAAAGGGTTCAACAAAGTGTGCATTTTTAACCTGAAGATTATTTGAAGCCAATGTTGTTTAGAACACAAACGAAAACAAAAAATAACAGTAACAAGCTTTCATAAATTAAGAGAAACAGTAATAAAGTCCAAGAGGAAGAAGACTGATTTCAGGCAAACACTCAGGAATATTTACATTTTTATCACATATGGATGACGGATAAGACATGTTTTGAACCCATCTTTTGCAGGAGAGCATCTTAAGTTCCTTTTGGTTAAAGAGCAGCTGCCATCTCTAAAGTCTCTAGTCTAAAAGATGATGCTTTAAAAAAAACAACTGGCCAAATGAATAGGTTCCGTCATATTTTAATGCTCAGGAGAAAAGGAATGCTTTTCATATGGCTATTTTAAAAAGCTTAAAGCTCAATTTCTCTCTTACAGGAGTGAGCTACCAACACTCTAATCTGAGACCAGAGTCCCTGCGTCAGTCATTTCCACTCCGCTAAGGCCTTGTCTGGGAGCAGCCAGCCTCATTGGTCGGGGAGCCCACACAGATGAATATGCAATTACTGAAATGGAAACAAGCTTCGCCACCAAGGACCACCACAAAGGAGTCCCTTCATTCCTCCTTTTACTTTATCAAGAAAGTAGGTGCATTATTTAAAAATGTATGAAAATACATGTCTAAAGACAAGAGAGAAGATCTGAACCTACGGCAACGGTGTGCCCCACCAAAGTTTCACCTCAGGATGTGTTTTAGGGTGTGTCTTTCATTTAGCCCAGTAATTGAAAGAAAAAAAAAATCGAACTCATTCGGGGAGCCCCGGTACTTTCCCTATCCACCCTCACACGCAACCAGGCTCCGAAATCAGAGTGCCTCAGCCTCGCCCTGATTTCTCCTGAAAGGCGGCGGCGCCCGCGGCCCGAGGCCCCGCGCTGTCACAGCCGCAGGGAGGGCGCCCTCCGGCCTCCCGGGTCCGCGCCCGCCCCGCGTCCGGCGGCTCGCGAGGGGCTAGAGAGGCTCACCCTGGAGGCCGGGTACGGGAGGGCGACACCGCCTCAGCCCGGGAGTTCGGGCCTCCGCCCCGCCCCGGACTGCGTGCCTGGTCTTGGGCTGCCCCCGGCGCCCGCCGCGACCCCGGCCCCGGCTCTGGCCCTGAGCCCGGATCTCACCGTGCGGAGGTCGCGCTGCCTCCTCGGCCGCGGCCCAGCTGCAGGCCGCCCTGCGACCTGCGGGCCCGAGGACGGAAGGTGAGACGAAGGGCCGCCCGTCACATCCCCGCCAGCCCCGCCGCCCGAGCCGCAGCAACCAGCATCGCGTCCGCGGCCTGAGGGAGCGCCGGACTCCAAAGCCGCCGCGCCCCCTCCCTCGGCCGGCGCCCGCCCGGACTCCGCCCTCCAGGGCCGGCGCACCGCGCACGCGCAGTCCCGCCCCGCCGCGGGCCCGTGCGCAGGCGCGAGCCTCACGGGGCTACGGGGACCGCCCCCACCGCCTGATCCGGCCTCAGCCCACCTCTGGCCCCGCCCCGCCCTCACGCCAGGCTTTCCCAAGCTCCGCCTCCGCTTCGGGCCCCGCCCCCTCCACTGACCTTGCCTGGCCGCCTCCTGACTCAGGTTTTTGCTGGGCCCACGCAGTGACGCCAGTCTTGCGGCTGACCTCACCTCTAGCCGTCCCCTGGACTACATTTGCTGCTTGAGTGCGGTCAAACCTGACAGCTCCTCCTCCTGGATGTGAAAAGTGAGGAGTGGTCTGAGCATTGGGCATGACTGAACCACGCACCTGCCTACCGCATCAAAACACAGGATCTTGCTAAAGCTGAGGGGAAGGGGCACCCCAAGTGCTGATCTGGTTTTCCCTTTTTTTTTTTTTTTTTGAAACAGAGTCTCGCCCTGTCACCCAGGTTGGAGTTCGGTGGCGCTATCACAGCTCACTTGCAGCCTCCTGGGCTTAAGCGATCCTCTCGCCTCAGGCGTGTATCACCAAGCCTCCGAAATAATTACAACTAAGACCACACTAGTCAAAGTAAACTATCACAAGTTGACCCAAATACCCGGCTAATTTTTATTTTTTCTTTTTAGAGTTGGGGGAAGTGGTCTTACAGGCTAGTCTCAAACTCCTGGGCTCAAGCAATCCTCCCACCTTGGCCTCCCAAAGTGTTGGGATTACAGGCGTGAGCCACAGCTCCTGGCCAATGTGGTTTCTTTGCCAGAAACCAGGTCTTTCTTCCCTTTGGGGCTTCCATCCCCCAGAGGCCATCTCTTCCCCTCTTGTTTTTCCTCGACGCGGCCAGTCCTGCTGCTGAGAGTCCTCAGCCTGGAAGGCTTCCGGGCCTGGCCGGCTGTTTAAAGCTCTGGAGTTGCCCTTACCTGGTTGTAGACTTGCAGTTCTCTGAAATCCTCGTCGGCCCCAACAGCTCGGTTGTAATAACATTTCAGGAGAACTGCTTGAAAAATATCCAGTTCTTTCCTGTCTCCAGATCAATGATACTCAAATGGAAAAAGCAGACGGAATGCCTGATTTGTATAACCACACTTCATTTAATAATACACTTTCATATTTAGAAAATAATGTCTTTTAAATATCAATCCCTAAGATATTTAATGTATTGGACAATAATGTGTGCTTAAAATATTGACAAAGACTAGGTCTAAATGCTGTGCAATCTCTCTTTGGATTAAGTGAGATTAGAAAAGCAAACACCAGGCCGGAGGCGATGGCTCAAGCCTGTAACCCCAGCACTTTGGGAGGCCAAGGTGGGAGGATCACAAGGTCAGGAGTTCAAGACCAGGCTGGCCAATATGGTGAAATCCCGTCTCTACTAAAAATACCAACAAATTAGCCGGGCGTGGTGGCGCATTCCTGTAATCCCAGCTACTTAGGAGGCTGACGCAGGAGAATTGCTTGAACCTGGGAGGTGGAGGTTGCGGTGAGATGAGATCATGCCACTGCACTCCAGCCTGGGCGGCAGAGTGAGACTCCATCTCAAAAATAAAATAAAATAAAATAAAATGCCCAGGCCAGTTGTGGTGGCTCACGACTGTAACCTCAACACTTTGAGAGGCTGAGGCGGGAGGATCACTTGAGCCTAGGAGTTCAAGATCAGCCTGGGCAACATAGAGACCTAGTCTATTAAAAAAAAAAGAAATTAACCAGGCTTAGTGGCATATGCCTGTAGTTCCAGCTATTCAGAAGGCTGAGGCAGTAAGATTACTTAAGCCCAGGAGGTTGAGACTACAGTGAGCTGTGATCATGTCACTGCACTCCAGCCTGAGTGACAGAGCAAGACCCTGTCTCCAAAAAAAAAAAAAAAAAAAAAGAAGGCTAGGAAAAAACTTTCCCATAATGCTAATACATGTACATACTTAGCAGAATCACAATAGCATTTTAGTGTATTTTCCTAATTTTATAAGCATCCTTGATACGTTTTATTTGCTTTCAGTTAATTTTCCTGGGTCTTTTCTTTTTTTTTTGAGATGGAATCTTGCTCTGTCACCCACACTGGAGTGCAGTGGTGAGATCTGGGCTCACTGCAGCCTCCACCTCCCAGGTTCTGCGATTCTCCTGCCTCAGCCTTCCAAATAGCTGGGATTACAGGCATGTGCCACCACGCCGAGCTAATTTTTGTATTTTTAATAGAGACAGGATTTCACCATGTTGGCCAGGCTGGCCTCAAACTCTTGACCTCAAGTGATCCGCCCGCTTCGGCCTCTGCTGGGATTACAGGTGTGAGCTACCGTGCCCGGCCTGCCCTTCCTCCATCTTCAAAACCTGCAAGAGTAGTTTGAGTCCTTCCCACATTGCATCACTCTGACCTCCTCTTCTGTCTCAGTCTTCCACTTTTAAGGACACATGATTATGTTGGGTCCAACTGGATGCTCTAGAATAAGAACCTTATTTTAAGGCCAGTTGATTAACAGCCTTAATTCCATCTGCAACCTAAATTCTCCTTTTTTGGCATCCTCTTGATGTAAGAGAGAGACATTCTTTCAGGGGAAGTTTTAGGATTCCATGACAAACAGCACAATGAAACAGTTGATCCAGAGCCCCAGTAGGAGATGATTCTGGAGACCATCCAAAAACAGACAAGTTGGGTGCAGTCCCACACACCTGTAATTCCAGCTACTTGTGAGGTTGAGGCTGGAGGATTGCCTGAGGCCAGGAGTTCAAGCCCCACCTGGGCAACATAGCAAGACCCTGTCTCTAAGAAAAAAAAAAATACAACAGACAAGAATCTCTGATGAAATCTCCTGGCTAGGCATGGTGGCTCAAGCAAGAGCTTTGGGTGGCCAAGGCAGGAGGATAACTTGAGGCCAGGAGTGTGACCAGCCTGGGCAACATGGTGAGAACCCCCCATCTCTACAAAAATAAAAAATAATAAAAGTTAGCTGGATGTAGTGGTGCACACTTGTAGTTCTAGCTACTCAGGAGGCTGAGGTGGAAGAATTGCTTGAACTCAGGAGTTTGAGGCTGCAGTGAGCTATGATTGCACCACTGCACTCCAGCCTGGGCAGCAGTGAGATCCCATCTGTAAATAAATAAGATTAAAAGAGAAATCTCCCCCTTTCATCTCACAAATATTTACTGAGCATCCACAGGCACTGTTCTGGATTAAGTCATGAACAAGGACAGGAGTCAATGGGATTGATTTTCTAGAAGAAATCACCAGTTCTTCACAGAAGGCAGTCTGATGATGGGAACTCTCGGCTCCCACAATCACAGAAAGTTTTCCTTGTTGGCCCTAATTTCGAAGACTTTGCATGCCTTGATGCCTTCTGGATCTAGAATCCAGCAACAAGGAGCATCTTTACCAGTAAAAGACAGAGTATCCACAAACTGGCCTCCTGGTGAAGATGTAGAAAGCCTGCTTCTCAGCTGTGAAGATGACAAACGGGAACAAAGTAGAATGAATTCCTTCTTTTCATTCCCTAAATTGATTGGCGAGGCCCAGAAAGATGAAAAATAATGTGTTAGTCAGGGTTCTCTAGAGGGACCGAACTAATAGGATAGATGTATATATGAAAGGTTGTTTATTATGGAGTATTGACTCACACGATTGCAAGGTGAAGTCTCACAATAGGCCATCTGCAAGATGAGAAGCAAGGAAGCCAGTCCGAGTCCCAAAGCCTCAAAAGTAGGGAAGGCGACAGTGCAGCCTTCAGTCTGTGGCCAAAGGTCCAAGAGCCCCTGGCAAATCACTGGTGTAAGTCCAAGAGTCCAAAAGCTGAAGAACTTGGAGTCTGATGTTTGAGGGCAGGAAGCATGCAGCATGGGAGAAAGATGAAGACCAGAAGACTCAGCAAGTCTAGTCCTTCCGTCTTCTCCTGCCTGCCTTATTCTAGCCGTGCTGGCAGCTGATTAGATGGTGCCCACCCGAATTGAGGGTGGGTTTGCCTCTCCCAGCCCACTGACTCAAATGTTAATCTCCTTTGACAACACCCTCCCAGACACACCCGGGAACAATACTTTGCATCCTTCAGTTCAATCAAGTTGACAATATTAACCATCACAAGTTCACCCCTTGTCAACCTTGAACCCATACACATCTCCTGAAATCATACATAATCTTCAAATAAAGATAATAATAAGGTCATAATTATGCCTAATAGAATACAGCCATCCTTCATACAACCGGAAGTGTACTAATCCTTAACCTAAATGCTATTTCGTAAAGTTAACAACACTTAAATGCTAATATGAAGTCAATAAATCTTATGTCACATGACAAAGGAAAAATAAAGGAAATAAAACGAAGATATTTTCTTAGTACAAGTGTACACATGCACAAACATGTTCTTAACAAAAGAAGGAGGAAAGACTAATGACAATTACAGTCCTCGTTGCTGCAACTGGTCATGTGGTCGTAGCTGGTCTTGACGACTACCTTCTTCTACTATTCATTCTGTATTCCCCTTGCCCTCAGCAAGCACCTCAACAGGTCATGGTTTTTTACCTGGTAGAGTGACCCAAACCTTCATTCATGAAGGGTCTGGGCTATTTGTATTCCTGCCTGAATTGGGTTGTTGTAGTTTCCCATTGACCTTAATCATAGGGCATGGTAATACTAAGAGACACCCTAATGGATCTCCTGTATTCCATTCATATTCTTCTTTACCTTCATTGTTGAGTAGTAGACTGATGTCATCTTGGTAGTATGGCTCAATCAACCCAGCCAACACTGTAACTCCCTTCTTAACCTGTTGACTTAGAGGTAGGTGGAGCCTAAAGTGGCCAGGTGGCAATCTTAACTTCCAGCTTAATGGAATCATTGTTGTGTCTCCTGGTGGCAGCATTCCTCTTTCTGGAACTAACACCTCCAGGCCAGCAAGACATAACGTTGCAGGAACAGGAAGCAAAAATTTTGCTAGTAGGTCACTAGGGATGATGATGAGTGGAGGTGATGGTGAGTGGTGCTACTTCCACTTCCACCCCTTAATTCCTGGATCCATGAATCCTCAAGGAGAAATCCACAGGAGAAATAGTGTCATACATTGGATGCGGATTCAGGGTATACACATCCTGCTGGAGAACTTTTCCCCAGCCCTTCAAAGTATTGTCACCTAGCTGACATTGTAATTGTGACTTTAAAAGGCCATTCCACCATTTTATTAATCCAGCTGCTTCAGGATGATGGGGAACATGGTAAGGCCAGTGAATTCCATGAGCATGAGCCCACTGCTGCACTTCTTTAGCTGTAAAGTGAGTGCCTTGGTCAGAGGCAATGCTGTGTGGAGTAACATGATGCTGGATAAGGCATTCTGTGAGTCCACGGATGGTAGTCTTCGCAGAAGCATTGCATGCAGGATAGGCAAACCCATATCTGGAGCAAGTGGCTATTCCAGTGAAGACAAACTGCTGTCCTTTACATGATGGAAGAGGTCCAATATAATGAACCTGCCAACAAGTAGCTTGCTGATCACCCCAAGGAATGGTGCCACATCAAGTGCTCAGTGTTGGTCTCTGCTGCTGGGAAATTGGGCAGTTAATGGTAGCCGTAGCCAGGTCAGCCTTGGTGAGTGGAAGTCCATGTTGCTGAGCCCATTCATAACCTCCATCCCTGTCACCATAGCCTCTTTGCCTGGCCACAGCAGGCAAGATGCCTGTACATTGGCAATCTTCCCTTCATCTCTTGTGCAGAGTGCACAAAATAACAGCTTTAGATAAAATTCAGCCCACAGGTACATTTTGTTTGGCCACACCATGATTTTTAAAATTTGAATTCATTACCAAAAATTTAAAAGTTGATGAATTTCACATATTTAAAAAATCCACATTTTCAGTTCTCTCCAATTGGCCAGAGTCATATAAGGCCCTTTTGTCTACACTAACTCCATCCACTCATTTGCTTGCCTGGTTCCTGTAAGCATTGCAGTCTGCCAGCCTGCTATAGAGGTTCCAGAGAGAGTATGGATTCTACATGATTTAGCTTACAAATTCATGGAGAGTTCACATTGCTTCCATGTTTTCCTCTCCTGTGAAGGAAAAATTAAACTAACATGATTGTGAACCTGATATGCACTAGATTTTTTTTTTTTGAAAATTGTTGTGGTAAAATACACATGACATTTACTCCCAACCATTTTTAATTGTATAGCTTGGTACTATTAAGTACACTCATGTTGCTGTGCAACCATCACCACCATCCATCTCCAGAACTGTTCTCATCTTGCAAAACTGAAACTCTATACCCATGAAACAACAATTCCCCATTCCCCTCTCCCCCAGCCCCTGGGAACCACTGTTCTACTCTCTGTCTCTATGAATTTCATTACTCTGTGTGCCTCATATATGTGGAACCATAGAGCATTTGTCTTTTCATGACTGGCTTAGTTCACTTAGCATAATGTCTTCAAGATTCATTCATGTTGTAGGGTGTGTCAGTATTTTTCTTTTTAAGGTGGAATAACATTCCATTGGATGCATAAACCACATTTTGCTTATCTGTGCATCCATTGGTGGACACTTAGGTTCCTTCCTTCTGTTGGCTATCATGAATAATGCTACTATGAATGTGAGTGTGCAGATATCTCCTCAAGACTGTGCTTTCCATTCTTTTAGTTATTTACTCAGAGGTGAAATTGTCGGATCACATGGTAATTCTTTTTTAATTTTTTGAGGAAATGTCATACTGATTTCTATAGCAGTGTGTGAGTCCATTCTCGCATTGCTATAAAGAAATACCTGAGGCCAGGTGCGGTGGCCCACTCCAGTAATCCTAACACTTTGGGAGGCTAAGGCAGGTGGATCACCTGAGGTCAGGAGTTCAAGACCAGCCTGGCCAAAATGGTGAAACCCTGTCCCTACTAAAAATACAAAAAATTAGCCGGGCGTGGTGGTGTGTGCCTGTAATCCCAGCCACTTGGGAGGCTGAGTCAGGAGAACCGCTTGAACCCAGGGGGCGAAGGTTGCGGTGAGCCGAGACTGTGCCACTGCACTCCAGCCTGGGTGACAGAGTGAGACTCCATCTCAAAAAAAAAAAAAAGAAAGAAATACATGAGACTAGGTAGTTTACAAAGTGGCTTAAGTGGCTCACAGTTCTGCAGGCTTTATAGGAAGCATGATGCTGGCATCAGCTTGCCTTCTAAGGAAGCCTTGGGAGGATTACAATCATGGCAGAAGATGAAGGAGAAGCAGGTACATCACATGGCAAAAGCAGAAGCAAGAGAGAGAGAGTGAAGGGGAGGGATGCCACACACTTTTAAATGACCAGATATCTTATGAACTCAGAGTAAGAGCTCACTTATCACCAAGGGGATGGCCAAACCATTCATGAGGGATCCACTCCCATGATCCAAACACCTGATATCTTATGAACTCAGAGTAAGAGCTCACTTATCACCAAGGGGATGGCCAAACCATTCATGAGGGATCCACTCCCATGATCCAAACACCTCCCACCAGGCCCCACCTCCAGCACTGGGGATTATAGTTCAACATGAGATTTGGCGGGGACATATATCAAACTATGTCAGTGACATAGGCAGACCTGCAAAAGCTAAGAAATATGTTTTTCTTGTGAGAATTAAATGAATTAAATATCATATAAGAAGCAACTGAAGTTAATCACGAACATTAACATGTAGGCTAACAATAGATCCTTAAGAGACTTAATTATTTAAAAATTCTGAGTATGACTAGTTTTGTAGTTATAAATTTGATAATCTCAATGAAAGAAAAATTTCCCCTGAAAATTATCAAATTTAATTCAAAGTGGAAGAGATCTGGAATGCCTTTTTAAACTCTAAAAGAAACTGTTGCCCAGGTGCGGTGGCTCACGCCTGTAATCCCAGAACTTTGGGAGGCCAAGGCAGGTGGATCACCTGAGGTCAGATGTTCAAGACCAGCCTGGCCAACGTAGTGAAACTCCGTCTCTACTAAAAATACAAAAATTAGTGGGGCATGGTGGCACATGCCTGTAATCCCAACTACTTGGGAGACTAAGGCACGAGAATTGCTTGAACCCAGGAGGCAGAGGTTGCAGTAAGCCGAGATCATGCCACTGCACTTCAGCCTGGGTGACAGAGCAAGACTCCGTATCAAAAAAGAAATTGTTAAAGTTACTCAAAAAATTGATACAATAAAAGATACTTAGATACTTGAATATTTTAAGTACATTATTTCATATTTTCAAGGAAAAACTAATTACCACAAGAAAACTGTGAATCTGAAAAATAACTTGTACTGAGAATACTTAAAGAACTCACCAAATTAATAATGAAAAGACAAACAACCCAAATTTTGAAATGGGCAACTGTAATAAATAGACACTTAACAAAAGAAGACACATAAATGAGCACATAAAAAGGTGCTTAACATCATTAGTCACCAAGGAAATGCACATTAAAGTCCAATGACATCTCACTTCACATTAACATATAATTTGGCTAAGAATTTCAAAGGACTGACAACACCAAATGTTGGGAAGAATATGAAACCCCTGGAACTCTCTCATATACTGCTGGTGAGAATTTAAAACGATAAAACTATTTTGAAGCTCACTCTGTTAGTTGTTCATAAAGTTAAACATGTCCTTGCTGTGTGATCCAGCAACTTCAGTTTTAGGTATTTACTCAAGAGAAATAAAAACATATGTCCACAAAATGACTTAAGTGAGTATGTTCATAAAGGCCCAAACTGGCAATAATTACTTGTTTATGAACAGGTAAATGGATAAACAAATCGTGGTACACACATACAAGAGAATAGTAGGTCAGCATTTAAAAGGAATGAACTACTGAGACATGCAACAGAAGCCAGACACTAAAGAGTACATACTGTATTATTTCATTTGTATAAAATTCTACCACAGAAAAAATTAGCCTATGATGATAGAAATCAAAATAATGGTTGCCTTGGGGGCAAATGGGAAGATGGTGAAGGAAAAGTCGCATGATAGTATTTTCTGGGGTCCTGGAAATGCTCTGTGTTTTGATTGACATGGTGGTTTCATTGGTGTATAAATTTGTCAAAATTCATTGAACTATTCAAATAAAAGCTGTTCGTTTTAATATAATAATTATACCTCAATTAAAGAGTATTTTTTTTTTTTTTGGCTAGGCATGGTGGTTCATGCCTGTAATCCCAGCCCTTTGGGAGGCCTAGATGGGTGGATTGCTTGAGCCCAGGAGTTGGAGACCAGACTGGGCAACGTGATGAAACCTTATCTCTACAAAAATTAGCCAGGTCTGGTGGCATGCACCTGTAGTCCCAGCTACTGGGGAGGTTGAGGTGGGAGGATCACTTGAGCCTGGGAGGTTGAGGCTGCAATGAGCCATGATTGCACCACTGCACTCCAGCCTGGGCGACAGCAAGACCCTGTCTCAAAAAAAAAAAAAAAAAAAAAAAAAAGTATTTTTAAAAGTCTATTATTTCCTCACTGGTTTAAGATGCTACTTTGTCATGTATTACCTTTTCAAATTCAATTTAGTCTATTTTTATATTTTAAAATGTTCTATATATTGAGCCATTATCAAAATGTTTTCTTTTTTTTTTTTTTTGAGACGAAGTCTTTTTCTCTCACCCAGGCTGGTGTGCAATGGTGCTATCTCGGCTCACTGCAACCTCCCCCTTCCCGGGTTCAAGCAGTTCTCCTGCCTCAGCCTCCTGAGTAGCTGGATTACAGGCGCATGCCACCACGTCTGGCTAATTTTTGTATTTTTAGTAGAGACGGGGTTTCGCCATGTTGGTCAGGCTGGTCTCGAACTCCTGACCTCATGATCCGCCTGCCTCAGCCTCCCAAAGTGCTGGGATTACACGTGTGAGCCACCTTGCCCGGCCTCAAAATGTTTTGAATACAGAAACTGAATAATATATTTTAATACCTGGTAAAGCTAGCCCTCAGCCTCTGCATTGGTTTTTTATTTTTTTCCATGAGTTTTCTGGTTATTTTTGTTTCTCTGTTCTTCCAAATAAATTTTATAATCAACCTATCTAGTTCCAGGTGAAAAGGTAGATGGCATTTTTATTGGAATTGCTTTATATTTATTTATTTTTTATATTTTTTGTAGAGACAAGAATCTCACTATGTTAATTAGGCTGGTCTTGAACTCCTGCCCTCAAGCAACCCTCCTGCCTCAGCCTCCCAAAGGGATAGGCATGAGCCACCTTACCAAGCCTGCTTTGCATTTATAAATTAGTTTTATAATACCTTATTTAAAACCTCATCTTTATAAGATTGAATCTTCTTATCCAGCAACTTGGCATGTCTTTCTATTTTTTCAAATTCATTTTTGTGAGTTCAGAATTATTTTGTAGTTTTCATCTTTTGGACGTTATCTCTTATTTTTATGCCTGGTATTTTGTGTGCTGTAATAAATGGAGTCTTGTTTTCCACTATGTCTTCTGTTTCTAGTTTGTATGTATGCATGTCTTTGGTGTTTATATGTTAATTTGATTGTAAACATTTGGTACTTTACTACATTATCTTGTTTGTATGAGTTTTCTCACCAATTCTTCAAGGTTTTCCAGACATAATCATGACCTCTGTAAATAGCATTTATTGGCTAATGCTGCCAACATTATGTTTTATAGTACAGGACATAATGAAATCTTTGTTTTTTTCATTGCTTTAGCAGAAAAGCTACTAAGATGCTGACTTTTGGGCTATGATACATTTTTTATCATGTTAAGGATATAGCTATCAATTCCTAGTTTACTGAATGTTTTGTTGTAAAAAAAAAGTACACCAATATTGAATTTGCTAAATGTCTTTTCTACATCTGTAGAGATGATCATATATTAATGAAACACTTTGCATTCTCAAATTTCAATTTGACATTGAAACACTGCATTCTTAAAATCAACCCCACTTGATCACAATGCATCATTTAATCTGCTGCCAGGGTCTATTTTAAGTTTTCTGCATTGAAATTCTTAAGGGAGAATTGTCTGTGGTTTTCTTTTATTGGAATAAAAATCTTTGAAATTTATTCCAAACAAATCTGAAATATATAGGAATAAAAACAATGCAATCTTTGTCAGGTTGGGGGATTAATAGTATAATTAATAGAGACTCTTGTCTCTACAAAAAATACGCTTCCTAAAATGAAATGTCCTGAAATAGTTTAAGTAACAATGGAATTAGCTGATCCTTAAAGATTACGTAGTCCTTTGTGATATCATTTGGCTTAGTGTTTCTTTGTTTTTATGAAAGAACTATTCAGCCTTTTCATTTCCTCCTCAGAAATTAGTTTTAGACTTTCTGTTTCTACTGGTTTCAATTTTAGTAAGTTGTATTTGTCTAAAAAATACCCATTTCTTCCAGATTTTCATACTTATTTGCACAGAGTTGAACAAAGTACTTTCTTCTTAAATTGCTTTCTATTTTTTATGCTATTATTTCTATATTTTTGTATTTGTGTTTTCTCTTCTTTAAAGCTTAAATTAGATAAGAGTTTGTGTATTTTTTGTGTTTTTCAAATATCTAGCTTTTAAATTTATTATTTTTACTCTTCTGTTTTCCAAATCATTATTTATAATTTTATCTTTATTAATTCCTTTTTTGCTTCTCTTGGTTTTACTCTGCCATTTTGTTTTCTATTTCAGACATTAAATTTATTTATATTTATGCTTTCATTTTTATTGCGCCAGATACTTAAAGGCATAAATTTTCCTGTAATAACTGCTCTTTGGGAAAAATTCTCAAACCATGTTTTCCCTCTGCTTTCACACCAACACAGCAATCGACACAGAAAATGTCTGTGACCAAATGTGTGAAGTTTTTTCCCCACCAACAAGCAGTGGACACCAGCTGCATATTCTCCAATTCCATTCTGATACTATCTACTTGGAGACAGCATCAGATCCCACAGGTTGAGGGCTCTCAGTCCCTTAAGCTAGTCTCCCTCCCTTTAGACACCCAGTGGCAAGTCCGAGACTCTGGAACTTCTGACTGATCGGCTTCAAGTTGAGGTTCCCAGCTGGGGATGGTGGCTCATGTCTGTAATCCCAACACTTTGGGAGCAGGAGGATCACCTGACGACAGGAGTTTGCCATCAGCCTGGGTAACACATTGAGATCCCATCTCTATTAAATAAAAATGTTGGGGTTACATGACCCTCTTTGGATTTGATTAATTTGCTGCAGTGGCTCTTAGAACTCAAGGAAACACTTATATTTAATGGTTTATTTTATTTTATTTATTTTTTTCTGAGATGGAGTCTTGCTCTGTTGCCCAGGCTGGAGTGCAATGGCATGATCTCAACTCACTGCAAACTCCACCTCACAGGTTTAAGCAATTCTCCTGCCTCAGCCTCCAGAGTAGCTGGGATTACAGGCCTGGCCACCATGCCAAGCTAATTTTTGTATTTTTAGTAGAGACGGGGTTTCGCCATATTGGTCAGGCTGGTCTTGAACTCCTGACCTCATGATCCACCCGCCTCGGCCTCCCAAAGTGCTGAGATTACAGGTGTGAGCCACCACGCCCGGCCTAATGGTTTATTTTAAAGGATGTAACAAAGGATACCGATGAAAAGATGCATAGGCAGAGGTAGGGGGGAAGGGGTGTGCCACTCCTCAGAAACTTCCATGTATTCAGCTACCTGGAACCTCTCTGAACTCAGGCATCTTGGCTTTTCATGGAAGCTTCGGGACCTCAGCATTCTTCCCCCAGGGAATGGAGTGGAACCCTCTCTGGAATAAGGGTTTTAGGACTCACAGTCAGAAACGAGGAAAGATTAGAGTCCTGCCTTTGGGCAGGTGAAAGAAGGGGAGGAGAAGGTCAGAGAGATTCTGTTTCCTGAGACTTAACACACCCAACATTGTAACAGAAGACTAACAAAAGTTATGGGAGTTATGCGCCAGGAACTGTGGACAAAGAACAATATACATATCATAACAACAAACACAGCTACTTTAGCATTATTACAGAGATTATATGTCTTGGTTTTATTATTATTTTCAAGAAATTCAATAATTTTATTTTTTCATTTTCCAAGGAGCTGCTTAAAGGAGTATTTTTAAATTACCAGGAAAAAGGAATTTTCAGATTAAAAAAATCTGTCATTAATTTCTAGTTTTATTGCATTATGATCAGATAATGCAATTTTTAATTTCTTTTCTTTTCTTTTTTTTTTTTTTTTTTTTTTTGAGACGGAGTCTCACTCTGTCGCCCAGGCTGGAGTGCAGTGGCGCGATCTCGGCTCACTGGAAGCTCCGCCTCCCGGGTTCACGCCATTCTCCTGCCTCAGCCTCCTGAGCAGCTGGGACTACAGGCGCCCGCCACCACACCTGGCTGATTTTTTATATTTTTTAGTAGAGACGGGGTTTCACCATGTTAGCCAGGATGGTCTCGATTTCCTGACTTAGTGATCCACCCGCCTCAGCCTCCCAAAGTGCTGGGATTACAGGCATGAGCCACCATGTCCGGCCACAATTTTTAATTTCTATTCTTTGGAATTTCTTGAGATTTTCTTGGTGGCCTAATATTTGGTCAATTTTCATGAATGTTTTATGTTCATTTGAAAAAGAAGGTAATTTCTCTTTTATACATATACAGAATTCAATATTGTTTGGTAGGATCTGTTATTTTGCCCTCCCCATTTAACAACAAATAAGAAACCAAAATTGCAAGACACTAGAGGACAACCTCTAACATGGAAAATAGAGACCCAGGCAAATAAACCTGAAAGGATCTGGAAACTCCAAGAGGAAGAAAACTAGCCCCCTTATGCTTCATTCCTAAAAACTATAAGTGATACATCCAGAGAAATAAGAAAAAATATTGCATCCATGAAACAAGAATAAATGTCATAAAAAACACAAAAGAGTCCTTCAAAATGAAAAAGATATAGCAGTGATGAAAACTCAATAGAACGGCTAGAAAATAAAGTTGAGGATATCTGCAAATGGGAGCAAACAGAAAAAGAGATTGAGAATAGGAGAAAAAGATGATCTTGAAAGCTTGCCAAATTCCTGGGGCACTAAGGGGAAGCCCCTCACTGGCAGCTGAGCTGTGAGGAGGTTTCGTGGTGGGACATGGGCTTAAGGGGTTCCCCACACTGGGCAGGGCAGACAGGGGACATGACCACCGCTGTAGACTCCTTTCCCACCACTGGGCCTGCCCTGCTGAGTTGCCTCTTGGTGCAGGGCGCCCCTTCTCTGGTCTGATATCCCTCCTGGGCATTTGTCCAGAACCCCCTAAAGCCCCTTCCTCCATTCAGATCTATTCCAGGCCACACACCACCGATGGGACCATTCATCAATGGCCAGGTTCCCAGCCTCAGGACCCAGAGACCTTGGCCCTGTTCCCTACTCCCAGTCATGTCTTAGGGTGCCAGCTCCAAATCTCTCTAGTACCACTCCTGCAAACACTCATTTTGCCTCCTTTCTCTCATAATAAGGCTTAACATCCTCTCAGGTAACGCTTCTCAAAAAGGAGCTCTAACTGTTAACGATGAAAAAAGTGTCTTCGCTCTAAGTTAAGGAGCACCCACCAGTCTTCAGAAACACAAAGACCAATCTCTACTTCTATTGATGAGAGAGGAAATGCCTCCATTCCTTCCAGATGAGTCACTATTCTTGAAGGTGGACAGAAGGCTACTTGTTAAAGCAGCAATATGCGGGCTTCATTTTTATACCCCACAATAAAACGTGGAATTCCAAGTGTCTCTTAAAACAAATGCAGTAAGTATATGCGTAATGAGGTGGGAAACTACCAGGAAGTATCTTTGTTTTTTTTGAGACAGAGTCTCACTCTGTCACCCAGGCTGGAGTGCAGTGGGTCAGTGTCAGCACACTGCAACCTCCGCCTCCCAGGTTCAAGCAATTCTCCTTCCTCAGCCTCCCGAGTAGCTGGGATTACATGTGCCCACCACCACGCCTGGCTGATTTTTGTATTTTTAGTAGAGACGGGGTTTCACCATGTTGGCCAGGCTGATCTTGAACTCCTGACCTCAAGTGATCCGCCCGCCTCGTCCTCCCAAAGTGCTGGGATTACAGGCATGAGCCACCACCCCTGGAAACTACCAGAAAGTATCTTTAAGTGAAAAAACAAGTTTCTCTGTGCCTGGGAATTGCACAGCCTCACCACCTTGCTGTAAATCCTGGCTCTGCCACTTGTCACTTCCATGTTGTGAGGCTTTGGGCAAGCTACTTTATTTTTCTGTCCCCTAGTTTTCATGTTTGTAAATGGGGAAAAAATTAGGTTGCTATGAGAATTAAGTGAGCTTATGTATGTAAGCCTGGCACGTAGGAAGTGCTAAATAACTAGATATTACAACATGCTCCCATTTATGTGAAAAATTTAAGATGTTACCAAGAAATAGGCTCACTGTCTGATGCACATAGAAGACAATACTAGGGCACCAGCTTTTGAAAAAATAAAAGGCTCTATTGCAAGGTCAACCAGCAAGGGGCTTTACTCAGATCTGTTCCCCCCATCTGGGGCTTAGGTCAAACTACTTTTTTGTTGTTGTTGAGATAGGGTCTCACTAGGTTGCCCTGGCTGGAGTACAGTGGTGCAATCACAGCTCACTGCAGCCTTCACCTCCGATGCTCAAGCCATCCTCCCACCCCAGCCTCCCTAGTAGCTGGGACTGCAGGCACACGCCACAACACCTGGCTAATTGTTAAATTTTTTGTAGAGACAAGATCTCACTATGTTGCTCAGACTGCTCTTGAACTCTGGGCCTCAAGCAATCCTCCTGTCTTGGCCTCCCAAAGTGCTGGGATTACAGGTGTGAACAACTGTGACCAGTCTAATGTATATATTTTTTATTTTTTTATTTTTATTATTTTTTTTTTGAGATGGATTTTCACTCTTGTTGCCCAGGCTGGAGTGCAATGGCGCGATCTTGGCTCACCGAAACCTCTGCCTCCCAGGTCCAAGTGATACTCCTGCCTCAGCCTTCCAAGTAGCTGGGATTACAGGCATGTGCCACCATGCCCAGCTAATTTTGTATTTTTAGTAGAGATGGGGTTTCTCCATGTGGGTCAGGCTGGTCTTGAACTCCCAACCTCAGGGGATCTGCCCGCCTCGGCCTCCCAAAATGCTGGGAGTACAGGTGCGAACCACTGTGCTTGGCGAGTAAATTTTTTTATACTAATAACATATTTTCATGTTATACTTCTTTTTATCCTTTTTTATTCTTTTTTTTTTTTTAAAGAAAGTCTATCAACATGAATTTTAAGAGGACACAATTCAGCCCATAATGGCAGGAAAAGAGAAATTCCTTTATTTGACTGTAACTAATCTGGATTTTTTCCTGAGTTTCTCTCTATTCGCTGTTTTTTGAGAAAAAATAATTACAAAATATTAATCTATTTAAAACTTGGATATAGGTGATCTTTCGAATAATACTGTTTAAGAAGTCTTCAATGTTGTATAAAAAGGCCCAAGATCTCAATGGCTGCCTCCGGTTTTGCTTTTCTTTCTAAGATGGTGTCTAAACATATGGAGAGAGGTTGTAGCTTTCAATACGTTATGGCAGCATTTGGGAGAAGTTGTGCTGCTGCACTAGGAAAAAGTAGAGAGTTGACCTGCTGTTTTGGGGCAAATGGGGTTGCCAAAAGCCCATGGTAAGAGGGGAAGCCAGCTGGACGTCCTGGGTCGAGTGGGGACTTGGAGAACTTTTCTGTCTTTCAAGAGGATTGTAAAACGCACCAATCAGCGCTCTGTGGCTAGCTAGAGGTTTGTAAAATGCATCAATCAGTGCTCTGTAAAAATGCACCAATCAGTGCTTTGGGGCTAGCTAGAGGTTTGTAAAATGGACCAATCAGCACTCTGTAAAATGGACGAATCAGCAGGATGTGGGCAGGGACAAACAAAGGAATAAAAGCTGGCCACCGCAGTCAGGAGTGGCAACCCGCTGGGGTCCCCTTCCACCTTACGGAAGTTTTGTTCTTTTGTTCTTCACAATAAATCTTGCTGCTGCCCACTCTTTGGGTCTGTGCCATCTTTAAGAGCTGTAACACTCACCAGGAAGGTCCACAGCTCCATTCTTGAAGTCAGCGAGACCACGAACCCACCGGAAGGAACAATGGGACCAGGTAATATTTAAAAAAGAAAAAACACATTTATGGCAGCAGGGAAATATTGGGGTCATCAAGTGGGATGTCTCCTGCTTCCTTTGGTTGTTGAAGCAGTATCTCCTGCCTATCTTTCCAGGCAGAAGACTCCAGCCACAGTTACAAGAAACATTTCTCTTGGCTTGTTCAAAGCTCAGTAGCTCTCCCTGATGCTCAACCTCATTCTCAGACAGTGGACCCTTCTGAGGTCTGCCTGCCAGCCAACTCCGTCCCATCTGGGAAGTTGGCCCAGTAACGGGCCAGGTAGGAAAGGGATGATGGATGATCCCCAGTCTAGGAGAACTGAGGACATTGTGAAGAGGACTCAGGATTCCCAGTTGCCATGCAGAGGTTATAGCAAATATAACTTATGTGAGCTGGCATCTGGCTCAGCCTGACATAGTGGATAGGGCTCAGAAGCAGCTTCTCCAAGCAGTGTGGATACCCTAAGTCAGTTGGCAGCCCCTGAGCACTTCCTGACCCATTGGGCTTAGAGCTGGGCTGGGGACCAGGAACCAGCAACCCAGAAAGGCTTCTCTCAAAAACTACGAAAATTGCCCTGGATCTTTAAGTTGGGTAAACATGCCCATGCCCCGCTGCCCAGTGGTGGTGCTAGCGATGGGGAACCATCAGTATAGTGACCCAGTGCCACCTCCCTCACTTCTTCCCAACTGGCTCCTATGCCAGTTCTGCCTCCAATTTCCTTGGTACTTGGGGTCAGCTGTGGAGAGGATCCTCATCCCAGGCCTCTGGCCAGTAGCCAGTTCTTCCAACAGAGATCAGAAAAGGATGAATGCCTCTGAGGAGTGAGTGGCCTGCTCATGTGGGGAGAAGCTGGAAGTCTGTTCCTGCTACTGTGACTCAGCAGGTTAGGCTGAGGCTCTATGCGCATGTAGGTTCCCATGGAGTCAGCTGGGTAACCTGGGCATATTAGAATCAAACCTCTTGAAAGAACAGTTCCAAAATCCTCTGTATCTCTCTGCTCCATTCTACCTGCACACTCCATGCACCTCTCTGGCTCATGCACCGAGCAGGGTGGAAGTTTCAAGCTGAAGTATTTCCTACAGGTTGGAAAGGCAGGAAATAAGAATAGCAGATACCTTTAAAACCAACATCTATAAATTAACTATTGCCATTGCTGGCAGCAGAGGTTCAAAAAATAAACATTAAAATATATTTATTTTCTTTCTTTCTTTTTCCTTGTTTTTAAAGAGATGAGGGCTTGCTCTGTCGCCCAGGCTAGAGGGCACTGGCCTGAACATAGCTCACTGCAGTCTTGAACTCCTGAGCTCAAGTGATTCTCTCACCTCAGCTTCTGGAGTAGTTGGGATTGCAGGCATGCACCACCATGCCTGGCTAATTTTTAAAATTTTTTTGTGGAGACAGGGTCTCACTGTGTTTACCAGGCTGATCTCAAACTCCTGATCTCAAATTATCCTCCCACCTCAGCCTCCCTAAGTGCTGGGATTACAGGCATGAGCCATGGTGTCCGGCCTTAAAAATCTATTTCTGATGGGATGGTAGTTCATTACTTAGGATAGATAGAGATTTAAATTTAAAAAAAAAGCAAAATTCAACATGACAGAGCTGTGACTAGATCAGAATTTACTTCTCCCCCATGGAAAAGTCATGATGAATGTGGTCCAAGGTTGGTATGGGGGCTGGATTCCTTCAAGTTTTTTTGCAGTCCCTCATTCCTAGACTCTGGCCCTTGACAAAGATTCTTTTCTTGGCCAAATTTTACTCAAACTCCTCTGAATTCTTTCTTGAGACAGGGTCTTGCTCTGTCACCCAGGCTGGAGTGCAGTGGTACAATCATGGGTGAGCTCACTACAGCCGTGACCTCCTGGGCTCAAGCAATCCTCTTCCCTCAGCTTCCCAAGTAGCTGGGACTACAGGCATGCACCACCATGCCTAGCTAATTGAAAAAATATATATTTTTGTAGAGACAGGGTCTTGCTGTGTTGCCTAGGCTGGTCTCAAACTGGTGACTCAAGCAATCCTCCCACCTTGAAGTAGGGAGCAATCCTCCCTCCTGAAGTGCTGGGATTACAGGGGTGAGCCACCGGGCTCAGCCCCTAAATTCTTTTTTAACCAAGTCTAACTTTGGGACTTTTGTGTTTGTCTCTGCATTGAATTAGGGTGGAAGAGGCTAAATTTTTAGGCGGTGGTAATTACACAACCCGCTAAGAGGTCCCATGCTTGAAACTTACATGTATGATGAAGGTGTAACAAAATTGAGATGCCATGCAGCCCTGGGCCCTGAGAAGGATGCTGACTGTTTCTTGTGCAAAGTGACCCCTTGTTTATCTTAAAAGAGAAGCATGCATATTAAGCAGGAAGGATTGCTGATTTGATATCGCTGATCTTGGTCCTAGTGGTATAAATGCCGTTTATCTGATATGGCTGGGAAGGTTTTGTGAATCTGGGCTCCTTGCCAGGCACCAGCATGTCATTGTTGAAAGTCCTCAGACTCCCTTACAGGAAGAGCCATTTCCCTTTTCAGCTCGGTGGTTCTTCGGAGAAATGAAAAGTTCTGTGGTTAGAATGGCTCATTCCTCTCCATCACTGGCAGGAAGGCCAGGGAGAGGGGTGGGGATGGTGCAAGTCTCTGAGGAGGGTGGGCAGAGGGTACCTCTCGTTAGAAACTGCAGTACAGGGAGCAGAGGGCAGGTTTGGAGACACTGCCAGAATGGCCCAAGACATTTTTTTCCAAGAGTCAAAGCCAAAGAAAAGTGATAGCAATAACAAAAATGAGCAGCTCTCTGTGCACTGAAATGGAGCACTTTCCAAGCTATGATGTCAATGGGGAAATGCCAGATACCAAACAATCTGTATAGTATGCTCAATCTGTATAGAAGAAAAGAAATATGTGTATATACATAAATATTTATAAATTCACAGGTCATCTCTGGGAAGATACTCAAGAAACTGGTAACAATGGTTACTTTCACAGAGGAAGATTCCATTACTATGAGATGTGGGTGAAAGGGGACTTAATTTCTACTGTACATATACCCTGTGTAGCTTTTTGATGCTGTACCATGTACATAAAATACCTATTCATAATAGGAAATCAATACAAATTAGAAAATAATAATAAGAAAACACAACTGAAAAGTACCAGAATCAGTGGTTGAAGCAAGCAGGCTTGAGGGAGGAAAGAGCAGGCAGCACTGGGAACAAGAATGTGAGATGCAGAAAAGCCAGGAGTTGGGACCACAGTGTGATGTGAATAAGCCATGAGAGCAGGTGGGTGAGTGAGCATCAGAGAGAGGGAGCTGTTCTCTGGGGCTGAGCATTCGTGGGATAGGGGGATGGGAGCAGACAGTTAAACTCCACCATAACTCACTTAAAATGGTCCAGAAAAATTCAGTCTTGTAAAATGTATGGGATCATGTTATTGAGAGGCTAATGAGATGAAAAGATGCAGGACAGGTCTTGTAATTGTCTTTTTTTTTTTTTACGTTATCTAGAATCATTAAGAAATAAGGTGGCTTTAGAGAGCCAAATTTTATCCTTTTTTCCAAAAAAATTATTTTTATTTTTCTAGAGACAGGGTTTTGCTCTGTCACCCAGGCTGGAGTACAGTGGCATAATCATAGCTCACTGTAAACTCAGCTTATTGGGCTCAAGTGATCCTCCTACCTCAGGCTTCTGAGTAATGGGGACTACAGGTGCATGCTACCATGTCCGGTTAATGTTTTAAAAAAATTTTCGTAGGCTAAGCGCAGTGATTCACACTTGTAATCTCAGCACTTTGGGAGGCAGTGGTGGGAGGATTGCTTGAGCTCAGGAGTTCAAGACCAGCCTGGGCAACAGTAAGACCCCATCTCTACAAAAATTAGAAAAATTAGCCAGGCATGGTGGCACACCCTTTGTCAAGAAGACTACCAGTTACCGGGAGGCTGAGGTGGAAAGCAGTGAGTCATGATTTTTTTTTTTTTTTTTTTGTAGAGACAAGGTCTCACTCTGTTTCCCAGGCCGGTCTCAAATTTGTGGCCTCAAGTGGTGATCCTCCCGCTTCAGCTTCCCAAAGTGCTGAGATTACAGCCATGACCCACTGCACCTGGCCAGGACAAGTGTTTATAGCTGGGAGTTCCCCAAATCCATCCAGGTCCTGGCCGCATTTGCTGCTATCTGTAACAAAGATTCTGTCCTCGACCAAACCTGAGTCAGGCTCCTCTGGCCCTTCTTCTTGACTAGGTCCCTACCTTAGCCTCTGTCTTTGGGCCACTTAGTCCAGCAAGATCCTGCTGAGTCAGTTTAGTGGAAGTGCCCCACCTTGGTAGTTGATTACTCTCAATATCTGATCAAATTCCTCACTCCCCACCCCCAATTCACATTATTTATCATGCTGGCCTGCCTTTAGCAAATAAGAATCCTGTTAAGTCAAAAACAAAAGATAAAAATGGCTGGTGAGGATATGAAGAAAAGAAAATTCTTGTGCACTGATGGTAGAAATGTAAATTGGTGCCACCATTATGGTAAATAGTATGGTAGTTTCTCAGAAAATTAAAAATAGAACTACCATATGACTCAGCAACCCCCCTTCTGGGTATTTATCTGAAGAAATTGAAATCAGGATCTCAAAGAGATACGAGATACCTGCACTCCCATGTTCATTGCAGCATTATTCACAATAGCCAAGGTATGGAAACAACCTACACATTTCTGTATGAACGAACAAGGAAAATATAGTATAGATTATGGAATATTATTCAGCCTTAAAAAAAAAAGAAAATACTGCCATTGGGACAGCATGGATGTATCTGGAGGATATTATGCTAAATGAAATACACCAGACACAGAAAGATAAATACTATCTGATCTACAACTTACATGTGGAATCTAAAAAACTCATAAAAACAGAAAGTAGAATGGTTATTTCTGGGTGCTGGATGAAGTGGGAAATGGGGAGGTGATGGTCAAAGGGTACAAAATTTCAGTTAAGAAAAATAAGTTCTGGAGATCCACTATACAGCAGATGCCTATAGTTAACAATACCGCATTGTATACTTAAAATTTTCTAAGACGGTGGCTCTTACATTAAGTGTTCTTACTACACACATACATGCATGCATACACACACACACACACACAAATAATAATAATAATAATAATAATAATAAAGACAGAGGAAACTTTGGGAGGTGATGGATATGTTTATGACCTTGATGATGGTGACAGCCCCATGGCTGTATATTCATCCCCAAACTCATTGAGTTACATACATTATATATGTACAGCTTTTTTCATGTCAATCATGCCTCAATAAAGTGGTTTTTCAAAAAAAAAAACAGTTGGTCTAGCAAGAGTCCCCCTAGCTTTGATGTTTCCTCTGAGGAATTTTCCATCCACTAACTCCCATTTCACTCAGCTAAACATCACATTTGTCCTTCTTGTATTTACAGTGGAGCTTGATCTCTATCCTCCACACTGCAAAACCCTCACTGCAGTAACTCCTCTTGAGAAAAGCCTTCCTACCATCCTTAACAAGTGTCTTAAGTAATGTTTCTTTAATACCTGCTAGTAGATGACTGCCTCAACTTAAATATGAGGGCAATGCTAGGTTCTATGGCTGACTTAGACATCCAGGACAGAAACAATCATCTCAGGTGTATTAGTCCATTTTCATGCTGCCATAAAAAACTGCCCAAGACTGGGTAATTTATAAAGGAAAGAGGGTTCAGCATTTCTGGGGAGGACTCAGGAAACTTACAATCATGGTGGAAGGCAAAGGGGAAGCAAGGCACCTTCTTCACAAGGTGGCAGGAAGGAGAAGTGCCAAGAGAAGAGGGAAGAGCCCGTTATAAAACCATCAGATGTTGTGAGAACTCACTATCACGAGTACAGCATGGGAGAAACTGGCCCCATGATTCAATTACCTCCACCTGGTCTCTCCCTTGACACATGGGGATTATGGGGATTATAATTCAAGATGAGATTTGGGTGGGGACACAAAGCCTAACCATATCATCAGGAATCTCGAGGCTCGTAGGTATCCAGTTGATTGGGGAGAATGGGTCAGGAGAATCCTGGGAAGTTGGTAGTCATGTTCTCTTCATTTCATTGCCCAATCTCTCCTCCTCTTAACATCCTCCTTCCTCTGTGGGAGATAAGAATTTTAGCTTGCCCCATTTGAAAAGGAAGAGAGAGTTCAGAAGAGGGAAGAAATAAAGCACCAATCTCAATAGATCTAAATATGCATTGTCTTCAAATTCACATTATTTATGGCACAAACTACAGCAGGATTTTCATGTCTTTAGAAATTAAAAGACAGTGATAATACTACATGTTGAAGTAATGGATATAGTCAAATCATATAAAAAGATAAGCTTCTAGGCTGGGTGCAGTGGCTCATGCCTGTAATCCTAGCACTTTGGGAGGCTGAGGCAGTTGGATCACCTGAGGTCAGGAGTTTGAGACCAGCCTGGCCAACATGGTTAAACTCTGTCTCTACTAAAAATACAAAAATTAGCTGGGCGTGGTGGTGGGCGCCTGTAATCCCAGCTACTCTGGAGGCTGAGGCAGAGAATTGCTTGAATCCGGGAGGCGGAGTTTGCAGTGAGCTAAGATCATGCCATTGCATGCCAGCCTGGGCAACAGAGCAAAAACTCCATCTCAAAAAAAAAAAGGAAAAAAAAAGTATAAGCTTCTAGCTTCAGATGTTTTATTATATAAGAAGAAAGATGCGAGGTGTGGTGCTCCTGTGAAGGGATGGTGGAGGTGGTAGTGGCAGAGAAGGCCTCTACAGTAAAAACGGCACCTATGGCATGATCCCATGTGTGTACAATTACATACTTCTATGTGAGTGTGAAATATATCTTTAAAGTTCAAAATGATGAAAACAAAAGAAACCTTCCATTCAGGATGTTAGGAAAAACAAGGAAAAAAAATCTAAAAATGAAGAACATAACTGTAGGAGACCAGAATATGCTACCCCAAAATATGACTGTAGGAAACCAGAATATACTGCACCAAATATGCTTCTTTGGCATAAGGATTATCTTGAGCTGATTATTTTCAGCAACAGTGGCCACAGGAGAAGCTCTGAAACAGAGTATAAGTTACGCTTTGGTAAAGGAAATTTAAATTTATAGAGGAAATCTCCATTAGTAAGAGTGTCTTCTTCTCTGTACCAGGAAGAGAAGGATGGCTGTGAATCACAAGATATGCAGCCATAAAAAAGAACGAAATCATGTCCTTTGCAGCAACGTGAATGCAGCTGGAGGCTATTACCTTAAGCAAATTAATGCAGGAACAGAAAACCAAATACTGCATGTTTTCACTTATAAGTGGGACCTAAACATTGGGTACTCACGGACATAAAGATGGCAGCAACAGACACTGAGGACTACTAGAGGAGGGGGAGCACAAGGGTTGAAATAATATTAGGCACTATACTTAGTACCTGGGTGATGGGATCAATTGTACCCCAAACCTCAGCATCATGCAACATACCCATCTAACAAAACTGCATCTATGCCCTGAATCTAAAATAGAAGTTGAAAAACTGAAAACAAAACAAAACAAAACTCTACTAAAAAATATACTTTAAAAAAATCACAAAAATACAAAAATTAGATGGGTATGGTGATGTGCACCTGTAGTCCCAGTTACTCAGGAGGCTGAGGCAGGAGAATCACTTGAACCCGGGAGGTGGAGATTGCAGTGAGCCAAGATCGCACCACTGCACTCCAGCCCGGGCGACAGAGCAAGACTGTCTGTGTCAAGGAAAAAAAAATCACAACTCTAATACTCTAATCCATTGAGAAGGCTCCAACTTCAGTCTGCATAACCTCTCCTGGTCACCTGGTTTTCTGGCTACCTTCCCATAGCTTGCCTCCCTCACACCTTTCTTCTTTTGTTTTAGCTTAAAGCCATGTCTTTGGTATCTCTTATCTATTTATTAGATATATATGTTAATAAACTTCTGTTTGTTAATCTTCTTTTTGGTACAGGATTCCAGAGAAAACCTAGAAGGGTAGAAGAAAAAATATAATAAATATAATAAGGTATTACATATAATTACCCTATGTAATAAAGGTAACATAATTATTGAGTCTGAAAATAGGAAAAAAGTAAAATTAATAAGTAAAATCAAATAAAACAGCATAAACAAATAGACAAATTCTGGCAAATGTAATGACGAAAAATAAAACACAATTACTATGTGTACCAGAGACATTTTGAAAACATTAAACTATATATTTTTAATATTCTATAAATTATATTCCCCAGAAGCCACTCTGCCATTATGGCCCCAGGGAAGGTGACCAAATGTCTACCCCCCGCCCCCCCCCCCGCCGCCACACACACACACACAACAAAACAAGGCATTAACAATGAAGGAGTGACTTCCAGACAAGAGGGAAACAAAAGAAAGGCTCTCTGGTTCTGGGAGGAAAGTGAGGAGTAAGAAAGAGATGCATAGGATGTCAGATAACAGTGACCCTGCGTCTATCTCTCTACACATTCAGGTTTAATGTTAAAATGGAGGAAGATGGCAGATAAAAATTACCTTGGAACAAAAGCCTGAAGTAAGGGGGGTGGGTGGGGGGAGCTTGTGTTTCTCTTCCCAGTTGGTGCTTTGGAAAGGCGCCTCTGAAAAGGAGCCCTCATATCAACCTGGGGGAGAGGAGGCAGCATGGGATGTCCTCAGAGGGAGGGCTGTAGGAACCACTCCCCCTTCCCCACTCCAATTTCCCTTATGGAAAACCAGGAATCTAGGATATCTCTTAAGCTCTTGGTAATGTGTGGGGAGGCAGCTCGGTTGAGAGCCAGAGACCAGCCAAGGTACTACCTTGGTGAGAGCAAAGTGACTGCACAGCAAGGCTGTGGTGAAGATGTAGATGAGGGTACTCATTTCCAAAGTGTGGCTTTGGGACCTGCCTCACCTGGGAGCTTGTTAGAAGTGCAGACTCTCCATCCCACCCCAGACCTACTGATCAGAATCTCTGGATGTGGTGCCTAGGAGTCTGTTTTCACAAACTTTCCAGGTGATTTGCATGCATGCTGAAATCTGAAAGCACCAGCCTAGACAGACTGGCCAGGAGGCTGATGACAAAATGGTCTAGGCATGGAGGGCTTGCAGGAGTTTGCACAGGGAGGTTCCCATGAGGCCAAGGTGCCTGCTCCACTCCATGGCCAGATGTGACAGGGCACACAGCTGGGGAGGCTGCTGAAGACACGCTGTACTCCCCATCAGCCCAGACGCTGATTTCAGAAGTAGGAGACTGAATATTGACAGAATAATCAGAGACATAAACCAGAAGAGATTGCTAAACTTTTAAATGGCACATCTAAGTTTTCCTCATTATTACACACAATGGAGACTATCTTATGATCATTGCAGAGAAAATTAAAAGCTATACTCTTTGGACCTGAGTAGACTGTGTGAGCTTTTTATCTCAGCACACACACAAAACTTGGAATAATAAAATGCTGTTTGTGATGGACAATGGGTACTAACAAAGAGTAATACAAACATGAAAAGGAATACTAGGCAGCCATTAAAAATTATTGTTGACTTTTTTCTTAAATGGAAAAAGAAAACTATAAATGATCTACTCTTTTTTTTTTTTTTTTGAGATGAAGTCACGCTCTGTCACCCAGGCTGGAGTGCAGTGGCACGATCTAGGCTCACTGCAAGCTCCGCTTCCCAGGTTCACGCCATTCTCCTGCCTCAACCTCCCAAGTAGCTGGGACTACGGGTGCCTGCCACCACGCCCGGCTAATTGGAATATTACCCTTTTCCCCCAAAGATAACCACAATATATTTGGTGTATATATTTCAAATCTCTTTCCTGTGTGTGTGTGTGTGTGTGTGTGTGTGTACGTATATGTATGTGTATATATGTATATATGTGTATATATACATATGTATACATATATACATATATATATCTTTCCTTTGTGTGTGTGTATACATACATGTATACATATATATATACACACACATATATACGCATATACACAAAATATACACTATATACACACATAACTCCAATGATCTATTCTTAACTGGTAAAAAGAAAACTATAAAACAGTATCACAAAACGAATTTTTCTAAGGAGTTATGTGTGTATATAGTGTACAAATATATTGTGTGTATATGTGTAAATATGTGTGTGTATGTATATGTATACATATGTGTATACACACACACGCAAAGGAAAGAGATTTGAAATATATAGCACCAAATATATTACGGTTATCTTTGGGGGAAAAGGGTAATATTCCAAGTAGCTTTTGTTTTCTTTTTTTGCTCATGTGCATGGTCTATTTTTTTCTTTAACGAATATGAATTTTTGTGTGTGATTAAGTTGTATAAGGAGGTTTATTAAAGTGTGCTTTAGGAAAAAGAAATCCTATATTTAAAATGAGGATGGCGGCCAGGTGCGGTGGCTCACGCCTGTAAGCCCAGGACTTTGGGAGGCAGAGGCAGGTGGGTCACCTCAGGTCAGGAGTTGAAGACAAGCCTGGCCAACATGGTGAAACCCTGTCTCTACTAAAAATACCAAAATTAGCCAGGCGTAGTTGTGTGTGCCTGTAGTCCCAGCTAGCTACTCGAGAGGCTGAGGCAGGAGAATTGCTTGAACCCGGGAGGCAGAAGTTGAAGTGAACCAAGATCACGCACTGCACTGCAGCCTGGGCACAGAGCGAGACTCTGTCTCAAAATAAATAAGTACATAAATAAAATAAAATGAGGATGGAGTCTTCTTCTTATTATTATTTTTATTAGAGACAGGGTCTTACTCTGTCACCCAAGCTGGAGTGCAGTGGCACAGTCATAGCTCACTGCAGCCTCAAACGGTTGAACTCAAGGGATCCTCCTACCTCCTACCTCAGTAGCTGGGATTTCAGGCACCAGCCACCTAATCTGGCTAGGATTGCTAAAAAATAGTAATAGCTACAATGTGTTATGTGTTTATTAAGCAGTGGGTCTTGCTCTGAGCACTTTGCATGTATTTATTTATTTAAATCTCACAAGTGCCCTGTGAATTAGGTACTCTTATTACCTTATTTTACAGAGATAGAAGCTGAAGCTGTGTGTCCCCGCATGTCACACAGCTGGAAAGTGACAGAGTCAGGGTTCTAGTTGAGAAAATAGGATTGATGCACCTGTACTCTTAGCCAGCACAGTGTTGTGTTTTAGATATGCCGTTAACATGGTATAGCCACACAATGAGACCAGATAGCATTTGCACCAAATTCCAAAAGATACATATTGCATAAAAATGCCCACAAGATAATTTTAAATGGAAAAAGCCATACACAGAGCTGTGTGAAACTGGAGAGTTGACCTGGTCTTCCCCAGTCAGGGCCAGCTGCCTCTCATGTGTGGAAGTAGAGAGAAGGTTCTGACCCATGGTTCAGGAGGGATCCTCTCTGGGGGTCCTCAGCATCAGGAGCTCTTCCCTGCTGGATGGCTGGAAGAGCATGACCTGCTGGATGGCTGGTCTCTACCAGGTCACCTGGGCCCTGGCTGCTGCTGGTCCTCCAAGGCAGCACAGGGATGGTAGGGCAGTGCATGAGGCCCCTCTCCTCCAACCCC
This sequence comes from Homo sapiens, assembly GCF_000001405.40. Taxonomy (NCBI): domain Eukaryota; kingdom Metazoa; phylum Chordata; class Mammalia; order Primates; family Hominidae; genus Homo; species Homo sapiens. The sequence continues at coordinate 84,299,919 of NC_000010.11, read as the reverse complement.
CTTGCAAGCCCCAGGGTATCTGCTTCCTACAGCAGCCATCCCAGAAGGCACATTTTCATTTTACAGATGGTTGGGGCAGTTTTTCTTTATAGATGTATAAATTTTTAGTAAAAGTTATACACAAACATGGCTAAGAGTTCTAAGAGGATACATGATGAAGATAATGATAAAGCACTGCTTTGTGCCACCTCTGACCATACCCTATCTCTCCCCAAGCGTACACTCATAGTTGTAGTTTACTAAATTCGGACATTGCTGCTTTACCTCCTATAGATCATGATTTAGCCCTCTTACATCACCCTCCCCTCTCTTCATTCTCCCAATGTAGCTCTATTTCTATTTTTGGTCAAATCAATAAACAGGCTACCTTATTAGGTCCACACTGACAATGTTCTTTGTAGAGCTAAGGAGTGCGTTTTGACCACATTGTCCTTCTTGTATAGCTCTGTGTCTTTCTTTTCTAATGTCCTAACATTCTTTCTTTTCTTCCATTAGACAATAAACACAAAAACAAAGTCTCTGTGGTATCAGATACAGAATTATCTTCTTTTTTTTCTCCCCCCAGGAGAAAAAGCTCCCTTCCAATGACCTCTGTCTTCCTACTACAATCTGGGCTGTCCTGACATAATTTGGGGGCTTTGATTTGGGCAGTTGAGGAAGAAGATTTGCTTCATTGAAGGTAGTGATTAGCACTTCTCCCCAAAATCCAAAGGGATGGGGGCAGGTGTGGTGGCTCACGCCTGTAATCCCAGCACTTTGGGAGGCCAAGGAGGGCAGATGGTGAGGTAAAGAGTTCGAGACCAGCCTGGCCAACATCGTGAAACCCTGTCTCTACTAAAAATATAAAAATTAGCTGGGTGTGGTGGCACACGCCTGTAATCCCAGCTACTTGGGAGGCTGAGGCACAAGAATCGCTTGAACCCAGGAGGCAGAGGTTGCAGTGAGCAGAGATTGCGCCATTGCACTCCAGCCTGGCAACAGAGCGAGACTCCGTCTCAAGAAAAACAAACAAACAAACAAGACAAAGGGACGGCAATGGGTTGATGGGCCCCTCACAGAGGGTGTAACTGAGGACACATCCCAGGTCCAGCCTTGCTGTGGTGATGCATCGTTCTTTAAACCTCCATTCCGTTTTGGGCAACAGAAGCCCCCCGTCTGAACAACAGGATCTCCTGCCCCACTCCCATCCCTTTCTATGACTCCAGTGTCTTCCCTTAGTCTGATTCTTTCATCCTGAGCAGTCCCCAGGCTTCAGCAGATGGTCAGGAAGCCCCCCATTGAAGACGTTCCCTGTGCATCCTGGGATGGGAGGGACTTCGGTGCTCAGATACCAGGGGTCCAGGTTGACACTACCACTGGGTCAGCTTTTCTTGTCAACTTCCCTCCCAGTGTGACCCTTGGGCTCTTCTGCCTCCTTAAATTATGCACCTGTTACATCAAGCATCGCCACCCACATCTCCCAAGGACAAACACTAGTACCAACTGTCAGGGACCATGCCCAAACCCACAATGAGGAAGGAGCCCTTTCCTTAACATCCTCATAATTAGGAGCACGCCTCCCTTTTTCCTGGGAGTCAGTACACCACATTGTTATGCTGCGCCTGTGTCCTGTTTGGCTTGCTTCCTGCCTTTTGGGGCCAGCCTGAAAAATAAAAAAGCCACATTATGCTTCAAAGGAGGCTCCCTTGGTTACCCTGAGAGGGGCTGTGAAATGGCCTTTCCAAAAAGACCTTCATTTAGTTTTTAGCCAAGAGTCTTTGTTCTCCCAAGTCCTTCTGAAGGAAAGGGAGATAATAGCCAAGGATGTGTTACATGTTTCGTATTTTACATATATTGGTGGAAAACAGGCTGGAAGAAAATATACCGGTATTTTAGCCGTTGTTATCTCTGGATATGAATGTAGAAGTGATACTTTTTCTTTTTCATACTTTTCTGCATTTTTCTTTCTTTTTTTATTCGTTTTGGTTATTTTCTTTTTTCCCTTTCTCTCTTTCCTTCCTTCCCTCCCTTCCTTTCCTTCCCTCCCTTCCCTTCCCTTCCCTTCCCTTCCCTTCCCTTGCCTGCCTGCCTGCCTGCTTGCCTTCCTTCCTTCCTTCCTTCCTTCCTTCCTTCCTTCCTTCCTTTCTTTCTTTCTTTCTTTCTTTCTTTCTTTCTTTCTTTCTTTCTTTCTTTCTTTCTTTCTTTCTTTCTTTCCTTTTTAGACAGAGTCTTGTTCTGTCACCCAGGCTGGAGTGCAGTGACACGATCTTGGCTAATTGCAATCTCTGTCACCTGGGTTCAAGCAATTCTCCTGCCTCAGCCACCCAAGTAGCTGGAATTATAGGCATGCACCACTAAGTCCAGCTAGTTTTTGTATTTTTAGTAGAGATGGGGTTTTGCCATTTTAGCGAGGCTGGTCTTGAACTCCTGGCCTAAAGTGATTTGATCACCTTGGCCTCCCAAAGTGCTGGGATTACAGGCATGAGCCACTGCGTTTGGCCCACTTTCTGCATTTTTCTAATTGCAGAAACTATATCTAATTTTTGAAACTATGTTCACCATCTGGCCAGGCACCATGGCTCACACCTGTAATTTCAGCACTTTGGGAGGCAAAGGCGGGCAGATCACTTGAGGTCAGGAGTTCAAGACCAGACTGGCCAATGTGGTGAAAACTCATCTCTACTAAAAATACAAAAAAATTAGCCAGGCATGGTGGTGCATGCCTGTAGTCCCAGCTACTCGGCAGGCTGAGGCAGGAGAATCGTTTGAACACAGGAGGTGGAGGAGATTGAGCCACTGCATTTCAGCCTGGGCGACAGAGGGAGACTGAAAAAAAAAAAAAAAGAAAAGAAAAGAAAGAGAGAAAGAGAAACTATATCCCCATGAAATGCTATTTAACAAATGTTTAAAACTATTTAAATATATATAACATAGCAGGAGTAAAAGAGGTCATTTTGAGTTTGAACTGGAGTCGGATCTATGTGGACACATCTGCCACTGGTGTGCTGGGAGCAGAGGCCTCCTTTGTGAGGATGGGCACCCCAGAATGTCAGAGATGGTTAGTCACAGCTGTTTCCCTAGCACCAGCAGTAGGCACTCAAAATATGTTTTTAAAACACATTAGTGAGTGAATGACGGGGGAGGAATTCCTGTAGGTTGAGCCTGATCCAGTCAGGAACTTGGTTGGCACCAGGGAGGCAGCCAGACTAGGCGTCCCTCAGCTTTGTCTCTCAGCCCAGCCTTTAATGTCCTGGGAGAACAGGATGTTGTAAGTAAAGACGGAAAGGCCGTCATTATAACAACAAACAATCTTGCTTTAGAGCTGCACGAAGAAAATGCATCACAGAAGGCAGGGAAAGTATATTCACTGCCCTGCTTCTCTGTAGGCCACCCACATTCTTTGGCAAAGGGGACTTCTCTGTGAAACAGAGATGAAGCCCATTCCCTGGAACTAAGGTGCTTGGTGAAGCAACAGTAGCAGCCAGCAGCTTAAACCTGGTTTTAAGCACGCTGGAGGCGGCTTCGACTTTGTTTTCACCATGTAGGCTACTGTTACAAAACTTCATTAGAGAACAAGACACGCTTAAATTTTTCTACTTGTGGGGAGGGTAGTGGCAGTTTCTGTTTGTGTTTCCTCCCACCCCCACTTGGTCAAGCCTAAAGCTTATTCTTGAGCATCAGGAAGCAGAAGCACAATGGGAAGTGGGACTTTCCACTACAATCATCCTTGAGTATGAGGTCTGGGGGCTAATCCTTTCTTGTTCACATGTACAGATTAACAATGCAATGCCCATATGGGTGTTCACAGCATTTTTGCCAAACCCCCAGGCTCTCTGGGACAGAGACCTTACTATTTGGTTCAGGTGACTACTTTCTTCACTCCTCGGTGATGTACCTGCATGAAATGTCCCCAGTCATCATTGCTCGGCAGTCAGAAACTGAGGAAGGTGGATGTTCTCAGTCCAGTGGGTCTCTGGACATCAGTTGTCCACTTGAGGTACAGGAACAAATCTCTTTTTTTGTTTGTTTGTTTTAATTTTTTTGTTTTTTGTTTTTTGTTGCTCTTGTTGCCCAGGCTGGAGTGCAGAGACACAATCTTGGCTCACTGCAACCCCCGCCTCCCAGGTTCAAGCGATTCTCCTGCCTCAGCCTCCTGAGTAGCTGGGATTAGAGTTGCCCGCCACCACACCTGGCTAATTTTTGTATTATTAGTAGAGATGGGGGTTTGCCATGTTGGCCAGGCTGGTCTCGAACTTCTGAGCTGGTGATCCACCCACCTTGGCCTCCCAAAGTTCTAGGATTACAGGTATGAGCCACCACACCCGGCCCAGGAACAAATCTTTCTTACTTCATTTTTATCTCTAGGTTATGGAAAGGGGTGATGGGGGTGGGGGAGGATCCTCTGCATTGTCTTCCCTAAAAAATAGGATCAACTGGGGAGACTTGTGAGCATCCCTTGGAAGCAAAGATGGACTGAACATACCTGTCTAGGTGTCCACATACTCTCTTCAGACCCTGTGAAGGCTAATTTTTCTTGTCAACTTGGCTAGGCGATTGGGGCCAGTTGTTTGGTCAACTAGTCTGGATGTTGTTAGGAAGGCATTTTGTAGATGTGATTAACATTTACAATTGGCAGACTTTAAGTAAAGCAGATTACCCTCCATGATGTGGGTGGGCCTCATCCAATCAGATGAAGGCCTTAGGAGCAAAAGCTGAGGTGTCAGGGGAAGAAGGCATTCTGCCTCAAAACTGACATAGAAATCCTGTCTAGATTTCCAGCCCACTGGTCTGCCCTGCAGACTTTGGGCCCAAGATTACAATTTCAACTCTTGTCTGAATTTCTATCCAAAGGGCCTGCCCTAGATTTCAGACTTGCCAGCATCCACAATTGCATGACTCAATCCCTTAAAATAAATCTCAATCTTTCTCTTTCTTATTGTTTCTGTTTCTCTGAAGAACCCTGACTGAAACTGACAAAGCCTCTCTCATTGACCACACTCTGAGCCCTCTTCTCAACTAGGCCTCCTCCATGGCCTGCTGAGCCCAGTTTTAGCAAAAATTCTGCTGAGGCAGTTTATTGGGAATCCCCCCTGCCCTTGATATCTAATCAGGTCTCTCTCCCCTATCCCAAGTTCCCCATAGTAATTCTCTGTCCTCTGCCTCACTGGGCCCACTGGCTCTAAAGCCCCACTTGTCCCTGTTTGTATTTGAAGTTGAGTTCCATCTCTCTCCCTGTCCCCTTCTGTTTGGGCTGCTATAACAAAATATCATCAACCAGAAGGCTTATAAACAACAGAAATTTATCTCTCACAGTTCAGAAGGCTCAGAAGTCCATGGTCAGGACATCAGCAGATTCAGTGTCTGGTAAGGGCCAATTTTCTGGTTCGTGGATGATGCTTCCTGGCTGTGTCCTCATATGATGGAAAAGGTGAGGGGTCTCTCCCAATGCCTCTTTTAGAAGGGCACTGATCTCGTTCATGAGGGCTCTGGCCTATGACATAATCATCCCTTAAAGTGCCCACCTCCTAATTCCTTCATCTTGGAAGTGAAGTTTCAACTTATGAATTTGAGGGAGACACAAACATTGAGACCATAGCACTTACCTATTGCAATGCTCTTAAATAAACTGTCTTGCCATTTTTAACAAGTGTTTGGTGAATAATTTCTCTTTAATAATACAGACCCTATACCTAATGCCAGTAACTATAAGGACTTTATAATACTCCAGAGTCAGACTCAATTTCTCATCTGGCTGCTGCCTCCTGTGTTCCCACAGCAATCTGAAGTACTGAAGTCAAAAACAGCACATGGGCCTTGCAGCATCTGGGGTGCAGCAAGCAGGGTGAAGGGGGAGACTGCCTTAGAATGGAGGGTGGCAGCTCCAAGGAATGGGAAAGCTTCTCAATCCCTTTGGTCTAAGTGGGAAAACAAAAGAGCTGGCAGCAATCTGGGGTGAGTTAGGGCCCAGGAGCTAAAAAGCAGGCCGGTTTCATGATAACGAGCTTCTTTTTTGTGTAGGATGACTGTAGCAAGTTTATCTGCAAGACCCACAGGGACCTCAGCAATGACACATTGTGGGATAGATTGGGAAGCCAGATTAGGTAATCACAGAGCTGGAGCACCTCTCTAAGAACCAGCTGGGGCTCTGCAGGGGTGTGACAAGTGCTCATCCGGATGAGGGACTCACAGAGACAACTGGCACATTAAACAGATTGCACTGTCATCTTCCTGACAGCACGCCCACAAAGGACCATGCTCAGCTGTCATCTTCAAGTGTGGGAGCAGCTTCCCTCCAAGCCCTGGGCAAGAGGCCACAAGATCCAGGTGGGGACCCAGCCTCAGACAAGTGTCCAGTAGTGGAAACTAGTAGAAAACCAGGACAGATGGGCAGGGACAACAGGGCAGAGAAGGTGAGGCCTGAGGCTTGGTGGGTACCCCAAAAGAGGTTTGGCTTGGTACAGATCATGAGTTGAGGCCATGATATCCTCCTGTCTGGTAAGGAATGGTTCCAGACATGGCTGGAGTTGCTGCTTCTGAGGAGTGTCATGAAGACTGCAACAGGGAAGGCTTGGGGCCCTGAGGCCAAGTCCGTCATGTCATTCCAGCTCCCCTTCAGGGAATGTGGAGATACACTAAAGGAATGTCTCTCTTTTATTGTTGAAAATGTGCACCTTTTCCTTCAGAGGCCTGCATCACTGCACAGAAATAATAATAATAATAAAACTACCTAAAGTTTGTTGAATAATTTCCTTAGGGAAAGCACATGACATACATAATTGCATGTAAACAACCTTATAGTTCCCATTTTAAAGCTACAAAACCCACCGGGCACAGTGGCTCACCCCTGTAATCCCAGCACTTTAGGAGGCCGAGGCAGGTGTATCATGAGGTCAGGAGTTCAAGACCAGCCTGGCCAACATAGTGAAACCCCCTCTCTACTAAAAATACAAAAATTAGCCAGGCATGGTGGCAGGCGCCTGTAATCCCAGCTACTCGGGAGGCTGAGGCAGGGAATTGCTTGAACCTGGGAGGCAGAAGTTGCAGTGAGCTGAGATTGCACCACTGCACTCCAGCCTGGGCAACAGAGCGAGACGCCATCTCAAAACAAAAACAAAAACAGAAAAAAAAAACCTGAGGCTTATGGAGTTAGTGCCCCCAAATAACACAGCTGAAAACTTAAGTTTAGCACAGTGAAAACTTAATGCAAATGTAGGCAATCTGAGTCAATACTTAACCACCATGTTATTATCTTAGCATAAAAGTTCATTCTAAAGTATGCTGACCTGACCACATCTCAGGCATACTGAGATTACTGACAGTAGCTTTAGGACCAAATGACCAGGAGCCTAAATTTGCCTCTGCTATTTCCTGGCTGAGTGACCTCAACATGCACTGCTTATTGGCAATAAGAGTCAGATTCTTCATCTATAAAATGAGGATGGCAATGTATGTAGTATGTAGTAATCATCCGATATGATTACTTTCTGGTTTGAAACCCATCTTGAAGCCAGGCCTGAGATGTGGTTAGGTGAGGGCCCCATTCTGTTCATTGGGGACCTTACCACACACAAGGGGATCTCTAGGTTGGCATAGTCATTTCCTCAGGACATTACCAGCCTAAGTCCTCATCTTCTGGAACAGTCTCACTTTCTCCCACTGAGTAGGAATGTAGCTATTTGTATTCTCTTTCTAGAAGCAAGAGGACCTCTTCTGAAGGGTGAAGAGGAGGTATGAAGACATCAGCATCACCTGGATTCAAAGAAGAGAACTGACCATAATAAATTAGAAAACAATTTGTATTACCTGCTTCAAATACTCTTTAGACAGGTTGATAGTCCAAAGTGTTGTTGACATTTTGGAAATAGTAGCATCCAACGTGTGTAAGGAGCTGGGCTTTAGAATGAAAGATCTAGAATTAAATTCTTTTCCCACTGCTGATTAGCTGGGTGGCCTTCAGGGAGTTGCTTAAATTCTCCATGCCTCAGGTTCTTTGTCAGTAAGGAAAATGCTGCATTGGGTTGTGACTAAAAACAAAATGATATTTATAAAGCAACTATCCTGGTGATGAACACAGAATGCAAGTTCTATCAATGTCCATTCTTTTCTTCTTCTTTGTTAAAAAGGTATATGTGTGTAAAGACAACTCACATCAGGCTAGAAAGCCTTGGTTGATTGAAGTTTCATTTCATTTTAAGAGATTTCTTTTTCCTGGGGATCTCCAACTCTGCTAGAAAGCTTATAAGTCCACATGCTGCTGGTGGGCTGAAGTCAGAGCCCTTCTAAGGACACCAATGGGATCATTCAGCACTAGGACTAGGACAGCACTGGCTCTCTGGGTTTCCCTGTTCCAATTCTGTGGCACAACTTCTGGCCATGGTGCTGAAAGACACTTTTCTTGATTTCTTAACTACTTTCCCTTCTCTCCACTTCATTCAGTCACAGGGTGGCTCATGGTCTTGTGGGCAGCCTGGGCTGGCCCCTGGTGAGTCCCCATACATAAGCCTCACAGCTCTTCACTGGAGCCTTTTGCCCAACTTAGGAAGACGAAGAATTGAGGTTGGAAAATAGGAGACAGGTCAGTTCCAACAATTTCTGATTCAGTGTTCATTCTAATGAACAGCTCCCTGCTCAGAAATGTAATAACAATGCTGATAGTTAGCATTCATTTAGTCCCTACTGCTTTGCCTGTATTATTAAATTAAGTAATGATATCTTATAAGCAACTCTGGCCTGATATATAGTAAGTACTTATAACTGTTGTTTTTGCTATTGTTATTTTCACTTAATTCTCTCAAATCTCTGATGAGCAGAAATTGCCATCCTCATTTTACAGATGAAGAATCTGACACTTATTGCCAATAAGCAGTACCTATTGAGGTCACTCAGCCAGAAAACAGCATAGGCAAAATTATGTTCCTGGTCATTTGGTCCTAAAGCTATTGTCAAAACATTACACTACCTCTGAAGATCCTTCTGGCCAAACAGGCAGAGGTCAGTATGATTACTTGACCCAATCTATTTCTTCTGAGCTCAATTCAGTGGTGCGTTGGGGCTCATATGAGCTTGCAAGAACCAATTGTGTGCATTTCTTCCCAACTCTGTGTTGGTAGCATGATGTCAACCAGTGGGAATATTTGCACCACACAACTAGGTAAACACTGCAAATCAGGGCTTTCTAAATTTTTCTGGAGATATGGATTAGCAGTACTTAACTAGCCAGGATTATTAAACTAAGACATGGGTAATGTCAAGGACTATCATATATGCCTGTGGATTTTAGTCTATGGTTTTCTGACTACATATATACCATGAGAGAGAAATGGGATTCAACACAATTGGTGTTATTTATTTCTGCATAACAAATTACTCTGAAATTCAGTGGCTTAAATAACAATAAATATGTATTATCTCTCAGAGTTTCTTTGGGCCAGGAATTTGGAAGAGACTTAGTTGGCTCTGTTGGATGGTTCTGGCTTGGAGTCTCTTATGAAATAGCAGGCAAAATGCCAGCTGGGCCTCCAGTCACCTGAACAAAGTTGTGCCACTCACATGGTCGGCAAATTCGTGGTGGCTATTGTCAGGAAGCCTCAAGTCCCAATCACATGGACTTCACAGAGGGCCACTTGAATGTTTTCACAATGTGAAAAGATAAACAACAGCCTTCTCCAGGGTGAATAATCTGAGAGAGCGAGGTAAAAGCTGCAACATCTTTTATGAACATCAAATTCTGCCATTTCCATAATATCCTACTGGTCACACATCAGCCCTATTCTGTGCAAGAGATAACTACACAAGGGCATGAATAGCAGGAGATGAGAATCATTGGAGGAATCTTGAAAGCTGACTACCATGATTGTACAGAGAAATTGTGATTCCTTCATCCTTCAGGGCTGACAGCAAATAATTTTCTCCTAAATCCCATGCCACTTGCCTGACAGCTGTAGCACAAAGTTTTTTTTTCTAAGCAATGAAGAATGATGGCTATTGGATAAGAAAACAAATGACAGTGTCTACCCCAACATTATACACTCCCCAGATAAGAAACTCTTCTTGTACTCACCATACAATTAGCCTCTACATGTTTGCTCTCAGCTTATTAACCAGAATAAATTCCTCTTGTGTCTTTTTTGCTTGGTTTGCACAAGCCATCTTTGTGTCTCTCTGATTGAATAGACATCCTTTTCATGGGGTGGGGCTGAAACCAAGAATTAATCTCTGGGCATTGAGTAAAGGGGAAAATGAAGCTGATACGGAAAATTAAGTTAGTTTCTTTGGCTCTGAGAAGATAAGGGCAGATGATGCCTCTATCCCAATTGGCCTGATCACAGGTGCATTATTCTGAAGCTGCTGCTTACTGAGTTAGTGTCCAGGCTGAAGGAGAATGTGTATGACTCCTCTAAAGGCAGTTGTCTCTGGAAGTATCTGAAACATTTTAGTACAGTGTACAGTGAAGGAAAGAGAGGGGAAAGCCGTTTTACAACACAAAGTGTTTATGATTATTAACATTTGATTTCTTCATAATTTAAATGGTGCAGTAAGTTCAAAAAAAGAAAAATATTGTTGCCTTGACTTAGCAGATTGTGTTTTTCACTCAAAACTTTAGTATGAAGAGCTCAAAATAGTAACTAGTTAACACATCTTCACCTTGTAAAAAGGCTTGGATAAAGCAGACACTACGAACTCTCATCCTTATTCCTTCTAACCTCCAAATTGAATGTGCATAAATCCAAGGGTTCTCAAATAGAAAACATATGTTTCTTATAACTGAGATAGCTGAGTCTGGGATAAAATGCTTTGAATGTAGCATTTCTTATTAATTAGATTAATTGTCAGGTCCACCTATAATCTGTGTTTTGTGTAGAAAATCACACCAAGCCCAAGGCATGCCAGACTTACCTGAACCATTTGTGATGGAATCACCAGATAAGCAGATTAAAGAACTACTCAGACTGTGGTATCTGGACTTCTGAAAGATACACGATGAATGTCTTATTACCAGTAGGACAAAAGTGAGGAATGGGGGCTGGATAGCAATATTTTAGAGACAGTCATATAATTGGTTGTCTTGAAGGGGTCCCAAATGACAATCTCTATTGACCTGAAGTGAGTTTCCCTTTCTTCATCCTAGAAGAATTAATATATTCTTGTCAAAATTCTTACCTGTAGTAGTCAGGGTTCAATTAGAGAAGCAAACCACTGGGATATTACATATACCAGTGCTTTGTTAGTAGGATTCGGCCTTACATAGGCTGGTAAGATATTTAACCACCTTAGAAGCTGGTTAAATAGTCTCTATAGGGCTGTCGTCTTCATATCTGATGCTGAACCATGAAGTCCTCAGGGCAGGCTGGGAAGGGAAGGGAAGATGATTGCAAAGTGGTAGAGAGCAAGGACAAGCTGGAGATGACAAGCATGAGCTGAAATGAACACAGAAGGACTGGAACCCATGTTAGTATTGCACTGCCTCCAATTTTAAATATACGGTGTCTTGTAAGAAAAGCAGATAAACACATAACTTACCCATGAGTGGAGAAGCTGAAGTACAAATTCAGGGGAGGATGGAGCAGCTGCAAGCCTGGCTGGCATCCCATGCCAACAAGGTGACCCAGTAGATAAGTGACAAGGTGACTGAGCTGCCTGGTGCTCTTGCATAGAATTTTCAAGTGTTAGAAAAATGTCTCCATGCCTTGCAATTTGTCTCTTGTGGCCAAGCCTAACTGAAAACAAACAGGAAAGGGATTCTAGGAAATCTGCTTCCACCTAGCCAAGCTGACATGTTACTAAGCCACCACATCACTTCACAGGCTAAAGCATTAGGTTCCTGGTGCAAGGTCCTGCTCTTCGCTCTATCAGCTGTCCATAAATCTGATGACTTCAGCATCCAATATCTGCGACTCTTGTTTCCTTGACCTCCTTATTACCAGTGAACTCCTTGTCCACTCCACCTCACCCATGACTTGCATAGTCATCCTTGACCTTATGTCCCCTCCAAGATGGTCCATCTTCATAGTCTAATTAAAATTTCATTCTCCCTGACTGCTCCTTTCCAACCAGCTTGCATGCTCACTTACCCCACTCTGTGTTTTTACTTCATTAGGATTTCTAGTCTGTTGACTCTTGCTTTCATCCAAAGCATCACCTCTTTCTCTTCATTATCCTCCTCAGTCAGACTAGATTCTCAACACTGTCACTTTAATGGCCCTAAACCTTATTTTTCTTTTTTTCTTTTCTCATGGTCATCAACGAAACCCCACCTCTGGATGACCCCACATAATTTCCTCTCAAGGCCTTACCTGAGCAGCCAAGAAGTGCTAGAGGAACTTAAACAACAGGACTATAATCACTTATCTCAAATGGTCATGGCTACTGTCCCGAGCTTCTCCTACTACACTTTCCAGTCAACTTATATTTTTATATGAAACAAAATATATAATTGTATTAATTTATGTGTGGAAAAACAATTATAGATTCACATGCAGCTGTAAGAAATAATACAGAGATCCAGGCAGGGCGCAATGGCTCATGTCTGTAATCCCAGCACTTTGGGAGGCTGAGGTGGGCGAATCACTTGAAGTCAGGAGTTCGAGACCAGCCTGGCCAACATGGTGAAACAAACCCTGTCTGTACTAAAAATGCAAAAATTAGCTGAATGTGGTGGTGCATGCCTGTAGTCCCAGCTACTTGGGAGGCTGAGGCAGGAGAATGGCCTGAATCCAGGAGGCGGAGGTTGCAGTGGGCCAAGATCGCACCATTGCACTCCAGCCTGGGCGACAGAGCAAATCTGTGTCTCAAAAAAAAAAAAAAAGAAAGAAAGAAAAATAATACAGAGATCCTTTGCATAGTTTTCCCAGTTTCCTCTAATGGTAATATTTTGCAGAGTTATAGCATAATATGACAACAAGAATACTAACATGGATATAATTCACTGATCTTATGCAGATTTCCATTTTACTTGTCCTCATTTGTGTGTGTAAATTCTATACAATTTTATCATCTGTGTAGGTTCATGTATTCTTTATCATAACAAAGATACTAAACAACTGTAACAGCACAAGGATTCATTATGTATTCTTTTATAGTCACCCCCACCTTCCTCCCACCCCTACTCCATCCCTAACTCCAGAAAAATCCTAATCTGTCTTCCATTTCTAAAATTTTATCATTTCACAAATGATATATAAATGGACTCATTCAGTATGTAACCTTTTGTTACAGGGATTTTTTTCTCAGTATAAGTTTCTGGAGATTCATCCAGGTTGTTGTGTATATCAATAGTTCATTCTTTTTGATTACTGAATACTATTCCATGTATGTACATACTACAGTTTGTTTAATCATTTACCTTTTGAAGGACAGCTATGTTTATTCCACTGTGGGGCAAAAAGGCTATTATCAGCATTTGTGTATAGGTCTTTTTGTGTGAACAGAAGGCTTCATTTCTCTGGATTAAATGCCCGGAGGTGTACTAGGTGGTATGGTAGTTGCACTTTGTTTTTAAGAAAACTATCAAGCTATCTTTCAGAGTGGCTGTACCATTTTACATACCCACCAGCAACGTGTCAGTGGTGAATTTTCCTCATGTTCTCACTGGCATTAGATGTTGTCTCTGTTTGTATTTATTTATTTATTTATAACGACTGGGTCTTACTATGTTGCCCAGGCTGGTCTCAAACTCCTGTGCTCAAACCATCCTCCTGCCTCAGCCTCCTAAAATTTTGGGATTACAGGCATGAGCCAACATGTGGGGCCTGTTTTTAATTTTAGTCATTTTGATAGCTATGTGAGGTTATCTCACTCTGGTTTTAATTTGCATTTTCTTAGTGGCTAATAAGGTTGAACATCTTTTCATGTGCTTATTTGCCATCTGTATATTCTCTTCAGTACAATATCTCTGCATGTATTTGCCCATTTTTAGTTGCATTATTTTTTTTTAATTTTTTTTTATTATACTTTAAGTTTTAGGGTACATGTGCACATTGTGCAGGTTAGTTACATATGTATACATGTGCCATGCTGGTGCACTGCACCCACTAACTCGTCATCTAGCATTAGGTATATCTCCCAATGCTATCCCTCCCCTCTCCCCTCACCCCACAAAAGTCCCCAGAGTGTGATATTCCCCTTCCTGTGTCCATGTGATCTCATTGTTCAATTCCCACCTATGAGTGAGAATATGCGGTGTTTGGTTTTTCGTTCTTGCGATAGTTTACTGAGAATGATGATTTCCAATTTCATCCATGTCCCTACAAAGGACATGAACTCATCATTTTTTATGGCTGCATAGTATTCCATGGTGTATATGTGCCACATTTTCTTGATCCAGTCTATCATTGTTGGACATTTGGGTTGGTTCCAAGTCTTTGCTATTGTGAATAATGCCGCAATAAACATACGTGTGCATGTATCTTTATAGCAGCATGATTTATAGTCCTTTGGGTATATACCCAGTAATGGGATGGCTGGGTCAAATGGTATTTCTAGTTCTAGATCCCTGAGGAATCGCCACACTGACTTCCACAATGGTTGAACTAGTTTACAGTCCCACCAACAGTGTAAAAGTGTTCCTATTTCTCCACATCCTCTCCAGTACCTGTTGTTTCCTGACTTTTTAATGATTGCCATTCTAACTGGTGTGAGATGGTATCTCATTGTGGTTTTGATTTGCATTTCTCTGATGGCCAGTGATGATGAGCATTTTTTCATGTGTTTTTTGGCTGCATAAATGTCTTCTTTTGAGAAGTGTCTGTTCATATCCTTTGCCCACTTTTTGATGGGGTTGTTTGTTTTTTTCTTATAAATTTGTTTGAGTTCATTGTAGATTCTGGATATTAGCCCTTTGTCAGATGAGTAGGTTGCGAAAATTTCTCCCATTTTGTAGGTTGCCTGTTCACTCTGATGGTAGTTTCTTTTGCTGTGCAGAAGCTCTTTAGTTTAATTAGATCCCATTTGTCAATTTTGTCTTTTGTTGCCATTGCTTTTGGTGTTTTGGACATGAAGTCCTTGCCCATGCCTATGTCCTGAATGGTAATGCCTAGGTTTTCTTCTAGGGTTTTTATGGTTTTAGGTCTAACGTTTAAGTCTTTAATCCATCTTGAATTGATTTTTGTATAAGGTGTAAGGAAGGGATCCAGTTTCAGCTTTCTACATATGGCTAGCCAGTTTTCCCAGCACCATTTATTAAATAGGGAATCCTTTCCCCATTGCTTGTTTTTCTCAGGTTTATCAAAGATCAGATACTTGTAGATATGCATCGTTATTTCTGAGGGCTCTGTTCTGTTCCATTGATCTATATCTCTGTTTTGGTACCAGTACCATGCTGTTTTGGTTACAGTAGCCTTGTAGTATAGTTTGAAGTCAGGTAGTGTGATGCCTCCAGCTTTGTTCTTTTGGCTTAGGATTGCCTTGGAGATGCGGGCTCTTTTTTGGTTCCATATGAACTTTAAAGTAGTTTTTTCCAATTCTGTGAAGAAAGTCATTGGTAGCTTTATGGGGATGGCATTGAATCTGTAAATTACCTTGGGCAGTATGGCCATTTTCACGATATTGATTCTTCCTACCCGTGAGCATGGAATGTTCTTCCATTTGTTTGTATCCTCTTTTATTTCCTTGAGCAGTGGTTTGTAGTTCTCCTTGAAGAGGTCCTTCACATCCCTTGTAAGTTGGATTCCTAGGTATTTTATTCTCTTTGAAGCAATTGTGAATGGGAGTTCACTCATGATTTGGCTCTCTGTTTGTCTGTTATTGGTGTATAAGAATGCTTGTGATTTTTGTACATTGATTTTGTATCCTGAGACTTTGCTGAAGTTGCTTATCAGCTTAAGGAGATTTTGGGCTGAGACAGTGGGGTTTTCTAGATATACAATCATGTCGTCTGCAAACAGGGACAATTTGACTTCCTCTTTTCCTAATTGAATACCCTTTATTTCCTTCTCCTGCCTAATTGCCCTGGCCAGAACTTCCAACACTATGTTGAATAGGAGTGGTGAGAGAGGGCATCCCTGTCTTGTGCCAGTTTTCAAAGGGAATGCTTCCAGTTTTTGCCCATTCAGTATGATATTGGCTGTGGGTTTGTCATAGATAGCTCTTATTATTTTGAAATACGTCCCATCAATACCTAATTTATTGAGAGTTTTTAGCATGAAGGGTTGTTGAATTTTGTCAAAGGCCTTTTCTGCATCTATTGAGATAATCATGTGGTTTTTGTCTTTGGCTCTGTTTATATGCTGGATTACATTTATTGATTTGCATATGTTGAACCAGCCTTGCATCCCAGGGATGAAGCCCACTTGATCATGGTGGATAAGCTTTTTGATGGATTCATTTTGCCAGTGTTTTATTGAGGATTTTTGCATCAATGTTCATCAAGGATATTGATCTAAAATTCTCTTTTTTGGTTGTGTCTCTGCTCGGCTTTGGTATCAGAATGATGCTGGCCTCATAAAATGAGTTAGGGAGGATTCCCTCTTTTTCTATTGATTGGAATAGTTTCAGAAGGAATGGTACCAGCTCCTCCTTGTACCTCTGATAGAATTCAGCTGTGAATCCATCTGGTCCTGGACTCTTTTTGGTTGGTAAACTATTGATTATTGCCACAATTTCAGCTCCTGTTACTGGTCTATTCCGAGATTCAACTTCTTCCTGGTTTAGTCTTGGGAGAGTGTATGTGTTGAGGAATTTATCCATTTCTTCTAGATTTTCTAGTTTATTTGCGTAGAGGTGTTTGTAGTATTCTCTGATGGTAGTTTGTATTTCTGTGGGATCAGTGGTGATATCCCCTTTATCATTTTTTATTGTGTCTATTTGATTCTTCTCTCTTTTCTTCTTTATTAGTCTTGCTAGCAGTCTATCAATTTTGTTGATCCTTTCAAAAAACCAGCTCCTGGATTCATTAATTTTTTGAAGGGTTTTTTGTGTCTCTATTTCCTTCAGTTCTGCTCTGATCTTAGTTATTTCTTGCCTTCTGCTAGCTTTTGAATGTGTTTGCTCTTGCTTTTCTAGTTCTTTTAATTGTGATGTTAGGGTGTCAATTTTGGATCTTTCCTGCTTTCTCTTGTGGGCATTTAGTGCTATAAATTTCCCTCTACACACTGCTTTGAATGCGTCCCAGAGATTCTGGTATGTTGTGTGTTTGTTCTCGTTGGTTTCAAAGAACATCTTTATTTCTGCCTTCATTTCGTTATGTACCCAGTAGTCATTCAGGAGCAGGTTGTTCAGTTTCCATGAAGTTGAGCGGTTTTGAGTGAGATTCTTAATCCTGAGTTCTAGTTTGATTGCACTGTGGTCTAAGAGACAGTTTGTTATAATCTCTGTTCTTTTACATTTGCTGAGGAGAGCTTTACTTCCAAGTATGTGGTCAATTTTGGAATAGGTGTGGTGTGGTGCTGAAAAAAATGTATATTCTGTTGATTTGGGGTGGAGAGTTCTGTAGATGTCTATTAGGTCCACTTGGTGCAGAGCTGAGTTCAATTCCTGGGTATCCTTGTTGACTTTCTGTCTCGTTGATCTGTCTAATGTTGACAGTGGGGTGTTAAAGTCTCCCATTATTAATGTGTGGGAGTCTAAGTCTCTTTGTAGGTCACTCAGGACTTGCTTTATGAATCTGGGTACTCCTGTATTGGGTGCATATATATTTAGGATAGTTAGCTCTTCTTGTTGAATTGATCCCTTTACCATTATGTAATGGCCTTCTTTGTCTATTTTGATCTTTGTTGGTTTAAAGTCTGTTTTATCAGAGACTAGGATTGCAACCCCTGCCTTTTTTTGTTTTCCATTTGCTTGGTAGATCTTCCTCCATCCTTTTATTTTGAGCCTATGTGTGTCTCTGCACGTGAGATGGGTTTCCTGAATACAGCACACTGATGGGTCTTGACTCTTTATCCAATTTGCCAGTCTGTGTCTTTTAATTGGAGCATTTAGTCCATTTACATTTAAAGTTAATATTGTTATGTGTGAATTTGATCCTGTCATTATGATGTTAGCTGGTTATTTTGCTCGTTAGTTGATGCAGTTTCTTCCTAGTCTCGATGGTCTTTACATTTTGGCATGATTTTGCAGCGGCTGGTACTGGTTGTTCCTTTCCATGTTTAGCGCTTCCTTCAGGAGCTCTTTTAGGGCAGGCCTGGTGGTCACAAAATCTCTCAGCATTTGCTTGTCTGTAAAGTATTTTATTTCTCCTTCACTTATTTTATTTCTCCTTCACTTATGAAGCTTAGTTTGGCTGGATATGAAATTCTGGGTTGAAAATTCTTTTCTTTAAGAATGTTGAATATTGGCCCCCACTCTCTTCTGGCTTGTAGGGTTTCTGCCGAGAGATCCGCTGTTAGTCTGATGGGCTTCCCTTTGAGGGTAACCCGACCTTTCTCTCTGGCTGCCCTTAACATTTTTTCCTTCATTTCAACTTTGGTGAAACTGACAATTACGTGTCTTGGAGTTGCTCTTCTCGAGGAGTATCTTTGTGGCGTTCTCTGTATTTCCTGAATCTGAATGTTGGCCTGCCTTGCTAGATTGGGGAAGTTCTCCTGGATAATATCCTGCAGAGTGTTTTCCAGCTTGGTTCCATTCTCCCCATCACTTTCAGGTACACCAATCATACGTAGATTTGGTCTTTTCACATAGTCCCATATTTCTTGGAGGCTTTGCTCATTTCTTTTTATTCTTTTTTCTCTAAACTTCCCTTCTCTCTTCATTTCATTCATTTCATCTTCCATTGCTGATAGCCTTTCTTCCAGTTGATCGCATCGGCTCCTGAGGCTTCTGCATTCTTCACATAGTTCTCGAGCCTTGGTTTTCAGCTCCATCAGCTCCTTTAAGCACTTCTCTGTATTGGTTATTCTAGTTATACATTCTTCTAAATTTTTTTCAAAGTTTTCAACTTCTTTGCCTTTGGTTTGAATGTCCTCCCGTAGCTCAGAGTAATTTGATTGTCTGAAGCCTTCTTCTCTCAGCTCGTCAAAGTCATTCTCCATCCAGCTTTGTTCCGTTGCTGGTGAGGAACTGCGTTACTTTGGAGGAGGAGAGGCGCTCTGCGTTTTAGAATTTCCAGTTTTTCTGTTCTGTTTTTTCCCCATCTTTGTGGTTTTATCTACTTTTGGTCTTTGATGATGGTGATGTACAGACGGGTTTTTGGTGTGGATGTCCTTTCTGTTTGTTAGTTTTCCTTCTAACAGACAGGACCCTCAGCTGCAGGTCTGTTGGAATACCCTGCCTTGTGAGATGTCAGTGTGCCCCTGCTGGGGGGTGCCTCCCAGTTAGGCTGCTCGGGGGTCAGGGGTCAGGGACCCACTTGAGGAGGCAGTCTGCCCGTTCTCAGATCTCCAGCTGCATGCTGGGAGAACCACTGCTCTCTTCAAAGCTGTCAGACAGGGACATTTAAGTCTGCAGAGGTTACTGCTGTCTTTTTGTTTGTCTGTGCCCTGCCCCCAGAGGTGGAGCCTACAGAGGCAGGCAGGCCTCCTTGAGCTGTGGTGGGCTCCACCCAGTTCGAGCTTCCCCGCTGCTTTGTTTACCTAAGAAAGCCTGGGCAATGGCGGGAGCCCCTCCCCCAGCCTCGCTGCCGCCTTGCAGTTTGATCTCAGACTGCTGTGCTAGAAATCAGCGAGACTCTGTGGGCGTAGGACCCTCCGAGCCATGTGTGGGATATAATCTCGTGGTGCGCCGTTTTTTAAGCTGGTCCGAAAAGCGCAATATTCGGGTGGGAGTGACCCGATTTTCCAGGTGCGTCTGTCACCCCTTTCTTTGACTCGGAAAGGGAACTCCCTGACCCCTTGCGCTTCCCTAGTGAGGCAATGCCTCGCCCTGCTTCGGCTCGCGCATGGTGCACGCACCCACTGACCTGCGCCCACTGTCTGGCACTCCCTAGTGAGATGAACCCGGTACCTCAGATGGAAATGCAGAAATCACCCGTCTTCTGCGTCGCTCACGCTGGGAGCTGTAGACCGGAGCTGTTCCTATTCGGCCATCTTGGCTCCTCCCCCTAGTTGCATTATTTTTTAACTGTTGAGTCTTCAGGTTCTTTATATACTCTAGACACTAGCACTTTGTCAGACATATTGTTTCCAAATATTTTCTTCCATTCTGAAGCTTGTCTTTTCATCCTCATAACAGAGTCCTTTTGCAGATCAAAAGTTTTTAATTTGATGAAGAGCAATTTATCAGGTTTTCCTTTTATGGACTTATCCTTTTGGTATCAATTCTGAGAACACTCTTCCTGGCCCTCTATTCTGTAGATTTTCTCCCAAGTTTTTTACTGAAAGTTGTATAGTTTTACATTTTATATCTATATCCATGATCTATTTTGAGTTAATTTTTGTATAAGATGTAGGACATAGGTCAAGGTTTATTTTTGTTTGTTGTTTATTTATTTTTGCCTGTGGATTTCCATTTGTTGGAAAGATTATCCTTCCATTGAATCGCTTCTGCCCCATTGTCAAAAACAGTTGGGCATGTTGGTATGGGTTTGTTTCTGGGTTCTCTGTGCTGTTCCACCGACCTGTGTGACTATCCTTCTGCCAAATTACACAGTCTTGGTTACGTAGCTCTGTGTCTTAAAATCGAATACACAGATTTCTCCTTCTTTATTTTTCCTTTCCAAAAACTTTAAAGTAATCTTGCTTTTTTGCCTTTCTTATGAATTTGAAAATAATCTATAGCTACAAACATTTTGCTAGGATTTTAATAGTCATTCCTTTCTACCTGTATATCAATTTGGGGAGAATTAATATTTAACAGTGTTGAATAGTCTAGTTCATGAACATGATGTGTCTTTCTGTGTATTCGGATCTTCTTTGATTTCTTTCATCAGCATTGCATAGTTTTCAGTATACAAATCCTGTATATGCTATTTTATATTTGCATCTGAGTAGTTAATTTTATTTGAGCAATTATAAGCGGTATTGTATTCTAATTTCAGTTTCCATGTGTTGCTAGTATACAGAAACAATTTGCTTTTTATATGTTTATCCTGCAGCCTGCATTGATGGTGACTTAATTCTGGGAGCTTATTTGTAAGATGCTTTGGGATTTTCTATGCAGACAACCATGTCATCTGCAAAGTGATGCAGTTCGATTTCTTCCTTTCTAACCTGTATGCATTTTATTTCCTTTTCTTGCCTTAATTGCACTAGCTAGAAATTCTAGCACTATGTTGAATAAGATTGGTGAGAGCAGACAGCTTGCTTTGCTCCTGATCTCAGGAGGAAAGAATTCAGTTTTTCACCATTAAGTATGTTAGCTATAAGTTTTTGTAGATTGTGTATCAAGTTAAAGAAGTTCTCCTCTATTCTTATATTTCTGAGTTTTTCCTATGAACGGGTGTGGAATTTTGTCAAGTACCTTTTCTATATCTATTGATATGATCATGGGATTTTAAATTCTTTAGTATGTTAGTATGATCGGTTATAATGATTAATTTTCCCATATGAAAATTAGCCATGTATCCCTGGGAATAAACCCTGTTTGATCATGGTATATAATCCTTTTTGTAGGTTGTTAATTTCTATTTGATAATATTCTGTTAAGGGTTTTTGCATCTATATTCATGAGAGGTATTGGTCTGTAGTTTTATTTTCTTGTCATATCTGGTTTGGGTATAAGGTTAATACTAACTTCATAAAATGAATTGAGAAGTGTTTCCTCTGCTTCCATTTTCTAGACAATATTGCATAGAATGGGTATTTGTTCTTCTTTAAACATTTGATGGAATTCACTAATAAAATCATCTGGGTCTGGAATTTCTTTTTTAGGAGTTTGGAAATTATAAATTCAATTTACTTAATAGTTGTTGGGTTAGTAACTTTGTTTTCATTTTTTATTTTTTTGAGAGGGAATCTCGCTCTGTCACCCATGCTGGAGTGTAGTGGCATGATCTCAGCTCACTGCAACCTCCGCCTCCCAAGTTCAAACGATTCTTATGCCTCAACCTCCCTAGTAGTTGGGATTACAGGCAAGCGCCACCGCACTGGGCTAAAGGGCTATTTAAATTATCTATTTCATATTGGGTGAACTGTAGTAGTTTGTGCTTTTTTGAGGGATTGATCCATTTCATCTAGGCTTGGAGATTTATGAGTGTAGATTATAGTATTTCCATATTATCCTTTTGCTGTCTCCAGGATCTGTAGAGATATCTCAGTTTTATTCTTGATATTTGAGATTTTTGTTTTCTCTCTTCTATTCTTTGTTGTCTTACAAGAGTTTTGTGAATTTACCTTTTCCAAAAAAAAAGGTCTTTGTTTTATTGGTTTTCTGTAGATTTGTGTTTTTAATTTTAGTGATTTTGCTGTTATTTATTTATTTATTTTTGAGATGCAGTTTTACTCTTGTTGCCCAGGCTGGAGTGCAATGGCACAATCTTAGTTCACTGCAACCTCCGCCTCCTGGGTTCAAGTGATTCTCCTGCCTTAGCCTCTGGAGTAGCTGAGATTACAGGTGTGCACCACCATGCCTGGCTAAATTTTCTTGTATTATTATTTGAGATGGGGTTTCACCATGTTGGCCAGGCTGGTCTCGAGCTCCTGTCCTCAGGTCATTCACCCACCTTGGTCTCCCAAAGTGTTGGGATTACAGGCATGAGCCACCGCGTCCAGCCAATTTTGTTGTCATCTTTATTATTTGCTTTATTCTACTTGCTTTGGGTTTATTTTGCTCTTCTTTTGTAGATTCTTGAGGTGGGAGCTTAGATAATTGAGTTGAAATCTTTTCTCTTTTCTAATGAATGTATTCAGTGCTATTAATTTCCCTCTCAGCACTAATGTAGCTGTGTCTTATGCATTTTCATATGTTTTATTTTTTAATTTTCATTCAGTTAAATGCATTTTTAAAATTTCCCTTGATGCTTTCCCTTTCACTCATGAATCATTTAAAAGTGTTTTGTTTAGTTTGCAAATGTTGGAAGATTTTCCTGTTATCTTTCTGTTGTTGATTTCTATTTTGGTTCATTATGATTACAGAACATACTCTATATCATTTCAGTTATTTTAAATTTGTTGGCCAGGTGTGGTGGCTCACACCTGTAATCTCAGCACTTTGGGAGGCCAAGACCAGCCTGGCCAACCTGGCGAAACCCTGTCTCTACTAAAAATACAAAAATTAGTTGGGCGTGGTGGCACATGCCTGTAATTCCAGCTACTAGGGAGGCTGAGGCACGAGATTTGCTTGAACTTGGGAGGCGGAGGTTGCAGTGAGCTGAGATCATGCCACTACACTCCATGACACAAAATATTACCTATCATGGTATATGTTCTATGGGCATTTGAAAAGTATGTGTATTCTGCTGCTGGTGAGTGGAACATTCTATAAATGTTGATTAGATACCATTCCTTGATGGTGTGTTGAGTTCTTGTACATCCTGGCTTATTTTCTGCCTAGTTGTTCTCACAATTATTGAGAGGGAGTTGTTGAAGTTTCCATTGCTTCATTCTGCTTTCAATTCCATCAGTTTTTGCTTCACATATTTTTCAGCTCCAGCATTTGGTGCATACACTTTCAGAATTATTAAGTCTTCTTGGAGGATTTACACTTCATCATATATAGGGTTCTTCTCTCTCTTTGGTAATTTTCTTTGCTCTGACATCTACTTTATCTGACATTAGTATAGCTGCTCCTGCTTTATTTTGTTTAATATTTCTTCTCTCCCCTCCATTCTGCGGTTGAGTCCATTCAGAGTTTTTTCTTTATATAATCTGTTTCCTAGATGAGTTTTTCTAATTCTTTTCATTTGTTTCATGCATGTTCCAAATTGTTTGTTAAAATATTGGCCGGGTGTGGTGGCTTACGCCTGTAATCCCAACACTTTGAGAGGCCGAGGCAGGCAAACTGCTTGAGGCCAGGGGTTGGAGACCAGCCTGGCCTACATGGTGAAACCCCATCTCTGCTAAAAATACAAAAAATTATCCCAGCATGGTGGTGCACGCCTGTAATCACAGCTACTCAGAAGGCTGAGGCTTGAGAATTGCCTGAACCAGGGAGGTAGAGGCTGCAGTGAGCCGAGATTGGGCCAATGCACTCCAGCCTGGACAACAGAGCGAGACTCTGTCTCAAAACACACACACACACACACACACACACACACACACACACACTATATACATATATATATATATATATATATGAGCTACTTTAAAGTCTTTGTCAGATAATCCTAATCATCTCTTTCTCATCTTAGTGTTGGCATCTATAATTGTTTGTTTTTCATCTAGTTTGAGATCTTCCTGGTTCTGTATATGATGAGTAATTTTCACTTGCAATCTGGATATTTTCCTATAATATGAGCCTGTGGATCTTATTTAAACTTTCTGTTTTAGCTGGGATTCCCTGGCACTTTTCTGGCAAGGGAAGGAGGGGTCACCTCTTTGTTACTTCCAGGTAGAAGTAGAAGTCCAGGTTCTCTACCTGGCCTCTGTTGACATCTGAGGTTGGGGGAGGGCCCCTCATTACTGCCAGATAGAAGTGGAAGTCCAGGCTGATCATGTGGTCTCCACTGACAATTTGGGGTGGGCTCATTACTGATTGTTGAGCATAAAAGTCTCAGTTCCCTACTTGGACTTACCTGACACCATCTCAAAAGGGGTCTTTGTTGCCTTTTTACAGCTCTGACAGAGTAGAAGTCTAGGCTCCCCATTCAACCTTTGCTGGGCTGGTGGGGATGGGGGCCATGGTCTTTTCCATGGAATTTTGCTGGAGTGGGACAGCTATGCCTAAAGGCTGCCCTTTTCCCATTTATTTGGCTAAACACATCAGGCCTTTATTGGGGCTGTATTTTTTTTTTTTTTTTTTGCTGCACTAATTATCTTGACTGAGCTACTGGCTTCTTCTTTAGTTTCAAATGTGGGATAAATGAGGCAAAAAGAAAACCCAGAGAACTCGCCACTGTGTCATTCTTCCATCTTGAGATCTCTAGGCAGCTTTTCCTTCTCTGCGTCTTTCAGTCGCCTGTGTTTGTTTTATACATAAAACGTCGAGGGTGTTTAGTGGCACTTAGCAGGAGGAATAGGGAAGGGTTCCTCTATTTCGTTTTCCTGGAAGCAGTTCTCTCATTGTGGTTTTAGTTTGCATTTCTCTAATGCCAAATGATGTTGAACATCTCTTCTTGTGCTTATGTGGCATCTGCAATTCTCTTCCGTGAAATTCAACTATTATCTTAAGCTCTTATTCTCTCAACCTTCTGACAATCTTATTTCCTGCTTTGTTAACAGCAGATTTTCATCTTCTCAAAGAAAATTGAAGTCATTGAACGGGAATTTCCTCAAATTTCTAACACCAATCCCACAAATAAATCAAAATTTGCCCCCTTCAGCCTTTCTCTCCTGCTGCCTGGGGTCCTACCCCCTTCCTCTTTTCAGAACCCTATGCCATTAATTATTGCTTATCTTTCCCATATATTCAATTACTTCTCAATCAACTTTTCCCAAGAAAATTTAAACCTGCTCAAGCTTCACTTTGTTAAACAAAAGCATACAGGACCTCCCCTCCCTTGTGTTTTTTTGTTTCTCTCTTCTATCTCAGTCAAAATTTCTCAAAACGAACACTTCATTTCTATGAAAAAAAATTTTTTTTAATAGAGGCAGTGTCTTACTATGTTGCTTAGGCTGGTCTCAAACTCCTGGCCTCCAATGACCCTCCCGCCTCAGCCCAAAGTGCTGGAATTGCAGGTGTGTGCCTCCATGACTGGCAAAACAAGCACTTATCTTTCCAGTCTGGCTTCTATTCTCTTCCCCTCACTGAAAGCTCTTGCTCAGGTCAATGAAGGCCACCAAGTCACCAAATCCAGTGGGCATTCATCCACCCTTACTTTACTTGACCATTCTTTTTTTCTTGAAATAACCTCTTCCTTATACTTTGGGAAACTCTCACTCCAGGCTTTCTTCCTGGTGCTCTGGATACTCATTCTGGTCCCTCTTGCAGACTCTTCCTCCCCACCAGGCTATTCAGTATAGTGGATTCCTCAAGGCTCAGTCAGGCTCTTTTCTCTCTTCCATTTAAAACCTCTTCCTGGGAAACCTGGCTTCAGTTACCAACTCCATAGCAAAGACTTGCACATCTATATCCCCACCCAGACTTCTCTGAGCTGCGAACTCTCATATTCAATCACCTTCTCTAAATCTCCACTTGGCTGTCACAAAGACACATCAACCATAACAATGCCAGACAGAACTCATGCCCTTTCCCCATAAGCCCAGTCACCTTCTGTTACTCTTTTCTCCATTTCCACTACCACCACTACTGTCCAAACCATCACCATCTTTCACCTGGTTGTCCATAAATAGCCTCAACTGGACTCCCTGCATCCCCTCCACCTGGATGGATGGATGGTTCTTTGTACCACAATGCCAAAATATAAATTGGATTATATCAGCTCCTGCTTAAACCCTTTTAATACCTCCAATTACACTGAGCATCTATCAAGCCCCAAATCCTTTTTTTTTTTCTGAGACAACCTCTCCCTCTATCACTCAGGCTGGAGCGCAGTGGCACAATAATAGCTTACTACGGCCTCGAACTCCTGGGCTTAAGCAATCCATCTGCCTTGGCCTCTTAAAGTGCTGAGGTTACAGGTGTGCACCACCATGCCCAGCTAATTTTTTAAATTTTTTATTTGTAGATACAGAGTCTTGCTGTGTTTCCCAAGCTAGTCTCGAACTCCTGGGCTCAAGGGATCTTCCTGCCTTGCCCTCCCAAAGTGCTGGGATTACAGGCTCAAGTCACTGCACCCGGTCAGCCCCAAATCCTCAACCTGGCCTGTAAGGGTTTCTGTGTTCTGGATCCTGTCTCTTGTCTAGTCTCATGTCATATCATTCCTTCCCTTTCATTTATCACTTAAGCTCCAATGGCCTTCAATCAGTGCCTTTACCTTCATCTCAAAAATACCCCAAAGGGTATGATTTTCTCAAACCTCAGCAATATGAAGGTCCAGAAATCCAGAGGGGAAGCCACCTCCTGTTCTAAATGTGAACATTCTCTGCTTCAGGACCTTGAGTTACGATTCCGTTCCTCCCAGCACTGCCCATTTCCAAATCTGTCCTTCATCCATCCGCCTGGAGGCTTCCACCACTGCCAGTGGATTGTTTCTGTCTTCTGTCTCCTATTCAGATCAATACACTCCTAATGGATCCTGGCATTGGGACATGACATCCTTACCAGCATTGCTTCTGTGGCTGTGTTATGCTGAAGCATAGTGCTTCGTCACCATGCTTCCATGCTACAAGTCACGGAATAATGCCCTTTACACCCTGACATTCAGTCTCTAGTAGCCCCCTTCCTTTACATCCCTATAAGCAACCTTTCCCACCCAGCTCCAAACTTGAACATGGGGAAAATATGAGAATTTTTTGCAAAAAGTCTGTTAGAAATTGATTTAAAAATGACAATTAAAAATGTATTTAGGTGTAGAAGAAGCTTCTACTGAAAAACAGGTGAACAGATGGGGCTGGGGGATTTTGTGATTATTACGTAAAGCCTGTATAGAGGAGAGGAAGGCACTGGGAAGGAGTATCAGGATGTGAAGTAGGACCTTTCTACTCTGCTGAGACATTAGTTTTGAAAATAATTGTGCATGTACTATGCTTCAGGGCCTTGAGAGTTAAGAAGGGGAGAACTTGTGTCACTTCCTCAGGGAAGCCTTTCTGGATCCCTCCTGCTACTTTTGAGTTTCATCTTTTCTGAGTTCCCATTGCACTTTCCATTAATTCACTAAATTAATTAATTATTAATTTTTATTAAGATATAATTTATACACCATAGAATTCATTCTTTTAAAATGTACAATTTAGTGGTTTTCAGTATATTCAAAAAGTTATAAAATCATCACCACTATTTAATTTCAGAATGTTTTCAATATCCCCAAAATAAGCCTCATACCTAGTAGCAATCACCTCTCAAACTCCTGTTCTCCCAGCCCCTGGCAACCACTAACTTACTTGCTGTCTCTATACATTTTCCTATTCTGGACAGTTTGTATAAATGAAATAATTCAACATGTGATCTTTTGGGTCTGGCTTGTTTCAATGTTTGTTCATATTGTAGCATGCATCAATACTTCATTTTTATGACTGAATAATATTTCCTCTTATGGATAAATTACATTTTACTTATCCATTCATCAGTTGACTGACATTTAGGTTGTTTCCACATTTTGTCTATTGTAAATAATGTTGCTATGAATACTAGTATATAAGATTTTGTGTAGAAGTATGTTTTCAATTATCTTGGGCATGTACCTGGAAGTAGAATTGCTGAGGACATGATAACTGTATTTTTAACTTTTTGAGGAACTTCCAAATTGTTTTCCAAAATGCTGTACCATTTAACATTCGTACTAGCAATGTATAAAGTTTCCAGTGCCTTTACATCCTTGCCAACACTTGTTATTATTGACCTTTTTGATTTCAGCCATTCTAATAGATATGAAATGACATCTCATTATGGTTTTGATTTGCATTTCTCTAATAACTAACGAAGTTGAGCATTTTTCATGGGCTTATTGGCCACTTGTGTAACTCTTTGGAGAAATATCTATACAAATGCTTTGGCCATTAAAATATTGGTTATTTGTCCTTTTACTATTGAACTATAAGAGTTTTAAAATATATTCTGAATATTAGTGACTTATAAGATATATAATTTACAAATGTTTCCCCCAGTCTGTGGGCTGTATTTTCATGTTCTTGTGCATTTTTTGAAGCACAAATGTTCTTAATTTTGGAAAAGTCCAGTTTAGCCATTTTTATTATTGTTTGGCTTGTGCTTTTGCTACTGTATGTAAGCAACCACTGACTAATCCAAGGCTGTTAATATTTATGCCTGTGTTTTCTTCTAGATTTTCATAAATTTAGCCTCAGTTTTCTCACATAGGCAATGCAGATAATAAAACTTAAGATCATAATATTGTAATCTTAGTATTGTTCAGAGGCTTGGATATGTTGACACATGGAAAGCCCATAATAAAGGGTTAGACTCTGCTGTTTCATAATTACGAGTGTTTATTCTTCTTACCTTCCTAACTTCAAGGAGTCCTTTAATCACTTCCTGTTTAACTTGAGAAGAGTTGGCAAATACACCTGCTAACAGCAACTGATAAACAATGTTATCTGTAGCTTTCTAATGCTTGAGCTTCCACAAAGGCCTTCTTTAAACCCAGGTAGGCTGAACAACAAGGTACTCTATCCATTGGGCTCATGCACTAACATCACTGTGAACAGAGAACAACACCTGCTGTCTGTGGCACTGGCCAGGGGTGAAGAGAGGGACTATGAGGCCATTTTCCTGGAGTGGTTGGGGCATTAGAACTGGGGGAAGGCAGGCAATCTCAGAACTTACCTAAAAAGAGATGCAACCCACAGACTCCTAGAAAGCAAAGCAGAGTGGATTGCAGATTTCTAAGGTGGTAGTCATGGGGGAGGAGGCTTATCCCCATTCACCATCTTAAACATTTGGTAGGAGAAGTTATGCTGGGATTTCTTTAATTTATTTATATTTCCTCGTGTGTGTGTGTGTGTTTTTTTCTCAAAGAAAATGCTTCAGGTTTTTTATTTTTTTTGTGGGGGCGGTGGTGGGGGGAGATGAAGTCTTGCTCTGTCATCCAGGCTGTAGTGCAGTGGCACAATCTCAGCTCACTGCAACCTCCACCTCCCAGGTTCAAGCGATTCTCCTGCCTCAGCCTCCCAAGTAGCTGGGATTACAGGCACACGCCACCATTCCTGGCTAATTTTTGTATTTTTAATGGATATGGTTTTTATCATGTTGGCTAGGCTGGTCTTGAACTCCTGACCTCAAGTGATCTGCCTGGCTCGGCTTCCCAAAGTGCTGGGATTACAGGTGTGAGCCACAATGCCCAGCTGAAGCATAAGTCACCTACTTCCAGCAGGAATTTAACCAGTGACCTAAGGATTGCTTCAGTTTTTTAAAAAAAGTTTGAAAACGACTGATGTAATCCAACCCATCATAAATGAAAATGCAGCCCACAAAAATTCAGTGATTCACCCAAAGTCACACAGGAAGGGAACAGCAAAGCTGGAACTCCAAAGTGGGTGTCTGTTCTGACCAGGAGACCAAGATTCTTTCTATGTCACCTGC
The DNA here is from genome assembly GCF_000001405.40 of Homo sapiens. Classification (NCBI taxonomy): domain Eukaryota; kingdom Metazoa; phylum Chordata; class Mammalia; order Primates; family Hominidae; genus Homo; species Homo sapiens. Next base: position 84,269,877 of record NC_000010.11, on the reverse strand, counting down.
TGCCTCCCTGTTAAGTCACCTTCCACAGCATCTGAAAAATTCTTAGCATGTGCTGACTTGAGTCATAGAATATCTTTGGTTGTAGATATATTGTCCCCATGAATAGATTTATCTGATCATAGATGTTTGGATCTGCAGGGCGTGGGGACTAGATTTAGGATCAAGAGGATGGATTCCAAACTCAGGTTCTGGTGGATTTGGGGTGCCACTTAACCTGTGCACATCTCAGCTTTTTCATCTGAAAAATGGGATTCTAAATTCTCTTCCTGCTACCTTTCTTTCATTGTTCTGAGGATCGCTCAAACAAAAGACATGAAAGAGATGTGTAATTGTAATGTATTCATTTAGATCTTCATTTATTCCTTTAGTAGCAGAATATTGGTGCTCATGGCTTTATTTGGTTTAGAGAATCACTAGTTCTAACCTTCTCATCACAGGGTTTTTCTTCTGATTCCCGAGCTGGCAGGGAGAGGCTGTGCTAAGTGGCTGAAAGTTTGTCACTCTGTCCCACACCTGCCATGTGACTACATGATGCCATGTGACTACACCCAGGACAACTCCCTTCAGCTCTTGCTCATATTTCCAGATGCTCACTAGACCTAAATGCTCACTAGATCCAAATACCTGAGTATCTAAGAGGCATCTGTATTTATTCTCCCCCAAGCCTGGTTTGTCTTCCTCATCTTGGTATATGGCACCTCCAAAACCCTAGGTACCATCCTTATGTACTCCCATGTCCTCGATTCTCACCTCATTTACAAATGGAAATGGAAATTTTCTCTACAGCATCCATTCTGCCCTCTCCCACTACTCAGCAACTATGTCATTTGTGTAGGTCTGACTACACCCGTACCTTTATTGGTACAAGCAAATTAAAATAATTTCACCCTCTTACCTATGGTGATGGTTTCCAATAAATCCCATCTAAGCTAAGCTAATCAGTCCATTGGCAGCTGGGGATTAATGGGAGTATTAAGCCAACTATCATTTTAATTCTCCTGGAAACAGGGATTTGTTTAGAAGTGGTCGAATCAAGCCCCAACTCAAGATTTTTATTTTATGGTTATTGGGAATGATGCTTGCTTCCTCCTATATGTGAACAGAACTAACTCACAATCATGTACGTATATTGTTCTAGGAGCCATCTTGGAGTTATTAATAAAGTTAGCGTAAGAATAAATGGACACATAGAGAGTGGGAGAGAGAAAGGGCAGACCTGAGAATCACAGAAAAATAAACCTGGAGACCTGATCAAACCTTGCATGAAGCTTCCACTCTTCCACTTTTCATTTGTGGGAATCTGTAAGTTGCACTTATTTTTCAGACTGTTAATATTTACATTTTCTGTTACCTGAAATCAAAAGCACCCAAACTGATAAACTTACTTAAACCACTAGCAAGTCATGTAACATCTGTTTCTAAAACTGTGTAACAAATCTGTCCATATCTCACTGTTATCGTCACCACCACCTAGTTCAAGGCAGCAGCATCTTTGGTCTGGACTATTGTAACAATCCCTACTTCAATTTTCAGCCTCTACTGTTCAATGTAGCCCCCAAACAGCAGCCAGAGACATCAGTTAAAAATGGAAACCAGATCTGGTTACTTTCTTGATGAAAACCTTTCAAAGATTTTCATTTGCTCTTAAAATAAAACTCACTGTTCCCCTTCCCCATCCCAGCCAGCCCTACTGGATGGACATGTCCCCTGCGTCTCCCGTTGCTTCTCTTTGGGCTTTCTGCCCCAGCCTCATGCCTCTCCTCGAACAGCCACTCCCTTTCCCACTTGCTGTTCCCTCTGCCTGAAATATTTTCCTTTTGCCCTCACCTGACAGCCTTATTATTATCGTTTAAGTCACAGCTTGAATATCACCTCTTCAGAGAGGTCTTTCCCAACCACCTCTCCCAGCTTCCCTATCTGTTCCCTAGTTTATGTCCTCCAAAGTGCTTATCAAAATTTGTAACGATTTCTTTTATACATTTACTTGTTTATTGTCAGTACAATGTAAGCCCCTCATGAGGACCTTGTCTGTCTTGTTTAAACTTGACTTACAGTTAGGCTCAATAAATATTTGTTGAATTGTTGTTGAATGGTGAACACCCAACAGCTGTGCGGCAACAGGAAATGCCATAGGGAGGTGCACCAGAGCGCCACCCAGTGGCATCTTAGGCCTGGCATGGAGGTTTTCAGAGCTCAGTCCAATGACACAACTTGAAACATTGATCTGAATCATCTGGCAGGTGAGAGACAATGAACACCCAGTCAGAGGCTGGGAAGTGATGGAGGAGCAGCTAGGATCATAATCGGTTGCTTTGGCTGAACACACTGCAACTCAGTAACATCGGTTTACTTGGGAGTTTGTTAGAAATGCATCCTTGGTCCCTACCCAGGCCTACTGAACCAGAGTCTGCATTTAACAAGATCCCAGGTGATTTGTGTGCACCGAAGAGTTTGAGAAGTGCTGCTCTACAGCATCTTGGATGTGCATTGCCTGCACTGATATCCAAAAATCCCTGTGCCAGGAGGCACAAACCAAGCTTTCTCATTTACTGTATGACCTTCAGCAGTATTATTAACCTCTTATTCTTTAGTGCGCCCACTAAAAGCCCTGGCCCTATTATCTTGTGGATGATATCATGATAATAAAATAAAAAGCCTTGGGCTGAGGCTCTCCTGCTGGCCTATGGTCTTTGGAATTTGGGAGAATTAGTAAGAGAAAGATGAGAGCAAGCCATAGAACAAGAGCAAGTGAAGAAGAATGAACACCTAGAGAGAAATATATATTAATATAAAACAGCAAACAATGGCCTCAGAGATAACTCAGAGTAAATCTCAGTTAAATCACTCTTCATGAAACAGAACTGTTCATACCACTCCCCAAAAGTGGTGGTTCTCACTCATGGCTGCATATCAGAATCACCTGGGAGCTTAAAAAGCCCAAGCCAGCCAGCCCTTTAAACCTACCACATCAGAATCTCTGTGCCAGGGACCTAGACAGCTATAATCTGTAAGGCTCTCTGGGGCTTCTCAAGTTTTAAGGTGCACACAAACCAACTCTAGGGGTCGTTAAAATGAAGATTTGGATTAAGGAGTTCTGAGCTGGGCCCTGAGACTTGAGGGCCTGAGACATTTCTTTTTAAAAAATTTTTATTTTATGTATGTATGTATGTATGTATGTATGTATGTATGTATGTATGTGTGTATGTATGTATTTACAGAGACAAGGGCTCACTATGTTGCCCCGGCTGGTGTCCAGCTCTTGGACTCAAGTGATCCTTCCATCTCAGCCTCCCAAAGTGCTGGGATTACAGGCATGAGCCACCACGCCCAACCCTGAGACATTTCGAACAAGCTCCCAAATGAGGTTGGGGCTTCCAGTGCAGGGATAACACATTGAGTCACCAGGAACCAGGTGATTCAAATTTGCAAACGAAGTTGAGAACTGTGCTTGTGAGGATGTTGTGGGGATTAAATGAGGGAGTAGTTGGGACACTTGTGGTGTGTAATCGCCAGTCAATTATCACAATTCTCCTACACACCCTTTTCTTGAGTGACAGCAAAGAGTAGATGATGAAGTCCCTGATGGAACATATCTAATATCTATTGAGCACCTACCGGGTACCATGTGCTTTAAAGTATGCCACCCAAATGAGTCCATTCTTGTGGATGTGGAACAAACTCAGAGATAAAAAATTTGCTCGAACTTGCTTAGACATTTGTTAAAAAATACTATTCGATGACACTTGTGAAAGCATGGTAAAGACTTTATTCAGGACCATCGCTATAGGTGTAGGGACAGCTGCAATGGAATGTTGCAATGGGTGAGAGAGATGGACAAGTCGGAAACGATAGCCCAGGAGCAGGGTGTGGTTTGCTGGATGGAAAATTACTAAGATGAAACATCAAGAATAAAAGGGATTCTGGCTAAACCTATCGAACAAGATTCTTGCTGAAGACAGGCCAGGGTGATCAGAAATCACCTGGGGGATGGTGCAGGCTGAGGAACCTGATCAGATATCCAGGGCTGATGGTTCTTGCTAAACTAACTTAATAGGGTTCTTTGCTACAACTGGGTGTTACAAGGAAGTTCAGAGATGGGCCTAGAAGAAGGTTCAAGAGCCTGACTCGAGTTTGGTCAAGCAGAGAATCTTTGTCACATTGAATAAATGGTAAATCCTGGATTCATGCCCAGGGATTTCCAACACCCAAAGCTGAGCCCTTTCCAATCTGCCAAGCTGGCTGTGATCTAGAAGGCGAAGGCGGTGCATGTGTTGGACAGCTGCAGAGGGCAGGGCAGCTGAGCTGAGGATGCTGTGCAGGGGATAATGGAGGCCATTGTGAGAGCTGCCAGGTGGATGGAGGGAAGAGCAGGTGTGTGATGTTGGGGCCAAGGAGCAGCTTAAGAGAGGAGCAGCAAGTTACCTCAACCGAGAACAGAGGGAAGACTTAAGGATTATATCTCTGGCCTTCACCCAGTGCTTTCCCAGCCCTCGTTACCTTAGAAACATTGCCCACAATTGCCAAATGTCATTTATTGTGCCTCTGCCTGAGGAGTGGGGTGCTTCTCCGAACCCTCCTGCCCCACACCCCATAGTTTGCAGTGTTCTTCCACCTATGATCACAGCATGAGGGCTAATCACCACCACTTTTCAGATGAACAGTCCCAGGTTGGAGAAATCCAGGGACTGCCCTGACTTATCAGTCAGACAAAGACAAAACCCAGGCCCAGACCTCTTATCAAAATGCTGTGGTGTGCAGGGCTTTGGAGGCCTCCATTTGGCTAGACATTCAATGGCTGTTCTATAGACAGAGAAAAGGGACTGACTCCATGGGGCCATCAAAGACTCCTCTGGCCAACGTGCATGACACTGTGTTTCCTTTAAGAAAGAGAGAGATGTGGAATCATGTCATCATTTGAGGTAGAAACAGTTAAGTGTCAGGTTTCGTCTGTATCACGAGCAGGCAAAGGAAAACGTGTCGGAAATCCTGCAGGAATCAATAACCCACCCACGCGGCCTCAGCAGGAGACCCCCAGGCTCTGCGGAGAGGCACTACCATCAGGGCTGGCAGCTCAGGATGTACTGATCATTGAGAGGGCACTGCCACCTTGTGGTACCTGCTGAGCACTGCGCCACCCTCACATTCTGCCCAGTGCGAGTATTTATGCATGTCGGATCTCTGCTTTTCCCTTCTCTCTTCATTTACCTTAGATGACAGGACAGATAATAGTGATATTTACATACACAGGGAACACAAGAAGGGAGACAGTTGTGGTGGGAAGGAGAGTGAGCTTGTATTTGAGAGAATTGGACCAGGAGTATCTCTGACAGGGAGAACAGCAGAAATTCTATTAATTATGAGGCAAAAAGAAAGATATGAATAAATTAGGCCAACTTCTTTGCCAATGAATTTATTTATCTATATAGAAAATTTGTGGGATCCCTTTTCCCTTTAACAGGGAATATAGATACTGTATAGTTCAGGCAGTATCTAGTTGGTATCTACTTTCTTGCTAGACAATCAAATGCACAGCCCTTTCCCTCCCCAGGAAAATTGTGCCAGTGAAGGTCTCCGGAAGGGGCCAATCCTTTACCTTGGTTACAACTTTCTACTTTATTTGTGATGTCAAGTCCATTTGGCAATAGGCAGAGCCATCTTTCCCAGCAAGAGGATGAGGTGGGTGATAATATTCTACGGTACTTACATTTCTTTGTGAAAGAACTCAAATACATTCTAGAATCAATGGATCTTAGAGTGGGAGGGGATCTTAGAAGCCAAATTTTATAACTTTTAAATGGGATTTTTACAATCCCCGGGTTCTGCAGAAGTGGCACTGGGTGTTCCTGGGCTGGGGGCACCAGTTGGGCTGTTGGTCCCCTCCATTATCATCTGTTTCAATGATGAGCTTTGATGTAACACTGTATTAGTTTGTTAAAGCGGCTGTAACAAAATACATAGACTGGGTGGCTTAAGCAACAGAAATTTATTTTGCACATTTCTGGAGGCTGGAAGTCGGAGATCAAGTTGCCGGCAGTGTTGGTGTCTGGTAAGGGCTCTCTCCTTGGGCTGGGCCAACTTTTCACAGTGAGCTCACATGGTCTTTCCTGGACATATGCTTGGGGTGGGAGAAGAGGGAGCTCAGGCTCTCCGGTGTCTCTTCTCATAAGGACACAATCCTATGGGATCAGGGCTCCGCTCTTATGACCTCATTTAACTGTACTGGGTTTCAACATAGGTATTTCAGGGGACACAAACATTCAGTCCACCACAAACATCTAGTTTGGAGAAAAAAAATTCGATAGTGTTTGAGAATCTTCTGCCTGTGTCAGAGCCCTGGGGGACTGAGATGATAGAGGGGATGGGCCAGAGGGGGTCTTGACTCCCAAGGTTACCCAGCGAGGGGATGGCAAGGCCTGGTCACACTACAGGAGTGCATGTTATGGGGCCTTCCTCTGTGGATGCCAATTTAGGGAAAACTGTTCTTAGAAATCATGGTGGTTTTCTTACATAGGACTATGTGGTTTTAAAAAAATAGAGAAACAAAAGAAAAAAAATGGTGATTTCCAAGTCAAACAGAAAATTTTAAAAATCCAGAATGGGGCTAAAATTGGCTACACATTGAAATTCAGTGGGGGATAATTCTCTTGAAATACAATTAAATCAAGTACACAATGAAGCATAGAGTGCACGCTTAATTTATCTAGAGCCAGGGATAACTGTTTAGTTTTGTGATAAGGACTTGCAGAGATTCTGAAGGAAATTTCTGGGCTATCTTGATAACCTTATTATTATACCTGATTTCACTTACTTGGACATGGCTGTACCGTAATTTCTATCTTTGATTTCCTAGCTATTGTTAACACCTGTATTTTACTCACAAATGTAACGAAGAGACAAAGAGGCAGTGGACATTTTCTGGCAGTATCTGGAAAGGATCTTGGTACTGCGTCGTCGCATCGAGCACGTGTCTGACACACAGCAGCTGTTCAGTAGATACGTATTGGATGGATAGGTGAATATGTCAGAACTAAGTGACACAGACAGGGATTCAGGGGGTCAAATGGATGCTGGCTTACAAATGAGGAAGTGATTGCTGGAGGTGACATTTTCTGGTGCTTGATGCTTGCTGGTTCTGGACGTCCACCTCCTGGTGGCCTCTTCCAAGTCCAGTCTGTGTGTCTGCATATCAATGTGGTCTTTAGTGTAGAGTGTGGCTAGAGGCCAGGGCAGGAGAAGTTAGGCTGGTTCCCCGGGCCTCCAGTGAAGATGCCCTGAGCCCTCGAGCTCTGCAGATGAGGCTCTAGCACAGTCTCTGCTATTTTCACCCTTCTTTCTTCCTTCCTGACTTCTCCAGACTCAGTCTTCTCACCTTGCTCTTGTTCCCCTTTCCACAATGTGGCCCCAGTTCTCCAGGGCTGCACGGAACTTGGAGAGAGCACTGTGGTGCTAGTGATGACTAACATGGGCGGGGGGACCTTGTTGGTGTGTCCCCCTAAAATTCATTGTGTCTGCAGGGGGTGGCATTAAGGGGTCACAAGTGAATGGAGAAAAAAGACCAAGGGGTGCCCAGGAAAGGGTGAGCAGTTGCTCCAGAGGAGCCTAGGAGGGAGGCAGGAGAGGAAGGCTGGTGGGGAATGACGCTCAGCAAACTCAGACTGATGGGGCTTATCTATTCTTCCCCTCCGCTCTGTGGGACGGAGCTTGCTTTCTCCTGCCTCCACGGTCCTGGGTCAGCTGCGCCTTCATCATCAGACTTCCTCAGTCACCTTGCCCACCATCTCCATTTCCCTTCAGGGCCCCGGGTCTCACCAGATATACAGATATACATTCAGGGATGGGGACTCCTGCATTAGTGTCACAAACCCAGAGGCCCACAGGCTCTGCAGGGAACATACAACTACAGCCAGGGATAAAACACTTGAAGGAGGTAGAAGTAACATTACTCTTTACATGTTTTTGTGATTGCAAAAGTGGTACATATTCATTGTAGAAAATCAGCAGAGAGCTTGAGGACTGTGAATCCATCACCTTAGGGGTTGCGCAGAGCAAAGCGAGCCTGAGAAGGATTTAGGCCTTTGAGGGCTGTGGTCTAACTTCTGCCAGGCCAAGTGCCAGGGATGGGCGGACTCTGATTCCTATCCCAGCTCAGGGACTGTGCCAAGGGCCCACAGGGAGGTGGACTTCAGACAGGATTCAGCCACTTTCTTTGTCCTCTTCCCCCAGAGGCAGCTGAGCTGCTTAAAAGAAGGCAGGGGTGCAGGGGAGGTTGTGGGGTGAGTGGGAAGGAGGGCAGAGAAGAAGCCCTGCACGCAGTGTCACAGGGGACAAGATCCTAAAAGTGCTTGGGAACATGGGCAGAAGAGCCTGAAGGTGATGAGTCTCCCCAAGCCCACTCCATGAGTGGGAATTGGGGGGTGTGGGCCGACATGGGGCTTCTGAAGTGAGTAGCTTCAGGCGGGACTCTGGTCATTCCTCACCAGGTGCTGCTTCAGCCCTTCCCATCTCCTGCCAACCCAGGCCAGGGTGGCCATTCCCAAGCCCTCCTTTCACTCCTGCGGGAAGCCTTGGGGATGCAAGGCTTGAGCTTAAGCCATCCCTGAAAGCAGCCTAACCAAACCACCTTCCTCCCTGCCTCTCCTCTGAGCACAGATGAGGACGCTGATGTGTTCGGCCTCGTCTCTTTCTCTTGGGGACTCGGGATGGCTCTTGTCACAAACCCAGAGGCCCACAGGATCAACAGGGGACACAGGCACTGAGGTTGACACAAGAGCATGTGTCCTGGGCAAAGGGCCGAGCTGCCCTGAGCTCTACAAACTGTAACAATGTAGGAAGGCAGCCGGGTAAAGCCTCATCTTCTGACATCTGGATTTAAATAAACTGTCCTGATTTTTAAATGTTGGCAACAAACCTCAAAACATTTTAAAGTAATGTGCAGGCCTAGCCCCGTATTACCAGAGGCTGTCTTTGACTGGCATGTACTGGTGGCTGATACTCCATGAGCACTTACCATGACAGGGAATGTTCTGGTCCTTTCTGTGTAGTCAAGTTGCCACTTCCATCATCTCACCTCCCAACTTGGGAAACGATGCACAGGCAGAGGAAGTGACGGGCAGCAGATCACGATTTAATACATGGTGTTTGAATGCTGGCAGCCTGGCTTGAGGTCCCATAAGCAAACCCTGGGGCTTTTACCCCTTTCTATGTAAGACTGAGTCCCTGCAAGGCATGGCCAAGACTTAACGAACAGCTCTGTTTTAATGAGTATTTTCTATGTGCTTAGTGAGTACATGTTATCTTCAAGCCTCACAACAACCCTGTGATGTCCATGTTAACATCCTTATGTTAAGGGTTAGAGGATTTAGAAGGAGTGATGTTAGGACACCTTTTCAATAAATGGTGCTGGGAAAATTAAATTGCCATATGCAGAAGAATGAAACTGGACCCATATCTCTTACCATATATAAAAATCAACTCAAGGATAGACACGGTGGCTCATGCCTGTAATCCCAGCACTTTGGGGGCCAAGGTGGGTGGATCACCTGAGGTCAGGAATTTGAGGACAGCCTGTTCAACATGGTGAAACCCTGTCTCTACTAAACCCCAAAAAATTAGCCAGACATAGTAGCGCATGCCTGTAATCCCAGCTACTTAGGAGGCTGAGGCATGAGAACTGCTTGAACCTGGGAGGCAAAGGTTGCAGTGAGCTATGATGGTGCTACTGTACTTCAGCCTGGGTGACAGAGCAGGACTCCGTCTTAAAAAAAAAAAAATCAACTCAAGATGGATTAAAGACTTAAGTGTAAGAATGGACACTATAAAAATCTTGGAAGAAAATCTAGGAAAAACTCTTCTGGGCATTGGTCTAGGCAAAGAATTCATGACAGAAACCTCAAAAGCACAAGCAACAAAACCAAAAATAGACAAATGGGACTTAATTAAACTAAAAAAGTTTCTGCACAGCAAAATAAACCATCAACAGAATGAACAACGTGCAGAACCGGAGAAAATATTTGCAAACCATGTATCCAGAATATATCCAGAATATATAAGACTATTATATATTATCCAGAATATATTATCCAGACTATTATCCAGAATATATAAGAAACTCAAATAACTCAACAAAAAAAATCCAAATAATGCCATTAAAAAGTGGGCAAAAGACATGAATAAACATTTTTTCAAAAAGAATACATACACGTGGCTAAGAAGCATATGAAAAAATGCTTAACATCAAAAGTCATCAGAGAAATGGAAATTAAAACCACAATGAGACCTTATCTCACACAAGTGAGAATGGCTATTATTAAAAAGTCAAAAAATTACAGATATTGGTAAGGATGCAGAGAAAAGGGAACACCTATACACTGTTGGTGGGACTGTAAATTAGTACAACCCCTATGGAAAACAGTATGGTGATTTCTCCATACTGTCTTAAAAATAGAGCTACCATTTGATCCAGCAGTCCTACTACTGGTATCTACCCAAAGGAAAAGAAATCAGTATATCAAAAAGAAACCTGCACTTGTATGCTTATCACAGCTGTTTACAGTAGCAAAGATATGGAATCTATCCATCAACAGATGATTGGATAAAGAAAACGTTACATATATATAACGTTTATATATGTATATGGAATGGAATACTACACTGCCATAAAAAAGAACGAGATCATGTCTTTTGCAGCAACATGGATGAAACTGGAGGTCATTATTTTAAGTGAAATAACTCAAAAACAGAAAGTCAAATACCACATGTTCTCACTTGTAAGTGGGAGCTAAATAATGTGTACACGTGGACATGGAGTGTGGAATAATAGACATTGGAGACTCAGAAGGGTGACAAGGTGGGAGGGGGTGAGGGATGAGAAATAACTTAATGGGTACAACGTATATTATTAGGGTGATGGTTACACTAAAAGCCCAGACTTCACCACTAGGCAATCTATCCATGTAACAAAACTGCACTGTACCCCCTTACATTTATTATTATTTTTAAAAAGGAATGACTTTCCTGAGGCCTCTCAGCCTTGAGTGTAGGGGGCTGTGACCGACACTCAGGTCCATCTGGCTCTTTCTGTGCAGCCTGGTGTCTTTCTGAATCCTGTGTCCAGCCTAGGACCAGGATCCACGGGGCCACTGGGGAAGGTGGGTGAGTGTCTGGGCTTGGCCACTGAGGCTGCTGGGCAGGACTCCTGGAACAGCCTCCTGGCCTGGGGCTCACTCCAGGGTGGCAGGCTCACTTGGTTCGGTCCTTCTCCCTCTTCTGCGGTGAGAGGCACTGCCAGATTCCCCTGCAGACCATCTCATTGCCCAGGGCATAGTTGATGGCATTGATCGTGGGCACCATTTTGGCAATGAGGGCGGGCACCTGTTGTGGCAGAAAAGTCCAGAAAAGAAGCTTCAAAGCCACTGATCCTCTCTCTGGTCTCACCTGGTGACCCCGGTCACCCTCCACCTACAACTGCCAATCATTTAGTTCTGCAGCCTTGGAGGCTTCCCTGACTAGTTGGTGGAGATGCATGGCTCACGGAGTCCATGGAGCCATACTCTTGTCCAGACCCACCTGCTCCCAGCCTGGGGACTAATCTCAACCCCTGGTCACAGAGTCTTTATCTACACCATCTGGCTGGCTGTCCCTGTCATCTCACATGAGGTTTGGGCAATGTCAAGCAGCAGCCTGGTATGACTCAGAGACGAGGTGGGGGATTAGGGGGGCAAACTAATGCTCTATGCCTTGTGAGTATCCAAAGGAAGAAACACAGAAAGGAAGAGACTGACACAGAGGTCATAAATCCAGAAAGTGAGATGAGATGAGACAGAGAACAAAGATGGAGAGGGGTCTAGTTTTAGGTACTAGAAGTATCTGTACCATCTGCAGTTTGGGGGAGATGGAAGTCACGTCTGCGATGACTGCGTATAGATACAGGATGGCATAGGGGCCCCAGCCGAGCAGCAGCGTCCTTGCTGGCAGAGTGGTGTTTACCTGGGGAGAAATTGTCACAGGAGATGTCAGCTTGCTCCAGGTGGCCCACAGCCCTATGTGGCCAAGAAAACCAGGTCAGCACTCAGCAGGGCGGGGCAGCATGGACCAGGCTTCAGGAGGGGGCTGAGTCTGCAGGGGAACTTGGGACCAGATGGGCCTCTCTGTTGTTTAAGACTGTGTGACCTTAAGCCTTTTATTTAAACTTGCCTGACCTCAGCTGCTGTGTCTGTAAAATGGCCTGACAATACCCAACGTGGCTGGAGGCCGAGACTGGGTGGATAATGAGCGCTTCCTCCTGGGTCTGTACTCTTTGTTTGTCAAATACAGAAGGGGTCTCACTATGTTTCCTAGGCTGGTCTCGAACTCCTGGGTTCAAGGGATTCTCCTGCCTCGGCCTCCCAACGTGCTGGGATTACAAGCATGAGCCACTGTGCCTGGCCTGCGTCTGTGCTCTTTAAGAGGAATCCTGGGCTCTGTGACTGCGTGCTCAAGGGGCCCCAGGCTGAGCTGCCCTCAGGCCTCAGTCCTAGAACCAACTCGTCATCCACAGCTACAGCCACCCGGCGAGACCACCCTGTCTGGGCTCCCAATGTGAAATACAATCAGCGGGGGAGGGGCTTGTCCAGAGAGCGGGAGATGCTGGGGTGCCGCCTGGGGCCATGAGGGGGCGCAAGACTCGCGCTTTAATTTCAGCGGGAGCTGCCAAGTTCCAGCCCCGCACAAACACGCGGACGTGCAATTCTGACGCTCAAGTTCTTGCCTGTTTTCTCCCTGACCTGACTTTCTTTAACAAAGAGGGTGATTAAGCTGGAAGAGGGCATATTTTCTTCCATCTTGGATTATTAAAATATGTTGACCAAGAGACTTTTTTTTTCCTCTTAACTGTCCCTTATTTGGGGAAAAAAAAACCCACGAACAACGGAGCTCAGCACCTCGGGGCCCTCCCGGGAGCCGAGGCCCTAAGACGTGGAATCCCCTGGGGAGGCTACGCGGTCTCGGGAAGCCGCTCAGCTTGGGATGAGGTCCCTGGACCCCTGCGTGTGACCTTGGCGATGCCCACCAGAGACAATGGTTTAAAGTCAACGCAGAAAAATGAGGAGATCATGGTGGCAGCCTTGTCTCCCGGCTGCCTGAGCCTCCAGTAAATGTGAACTTTGCACCTCCAGACAGGGCTTGGGACCGGCATCGCGGAGGACAGCCTAGAAGCGGCGCCTATGCCAGCAGCCAGCTGGGAGCCAGGGGACTGGATTCTGGTCCCAGGAAAGCCCTTTCTCTCCTTCTGACCTCGGGGGAGCATCGGGGCTCCAGCTAAAATAGATTTGCACAGTCCTTTTCCAATTTACAATAAATAAATAAAGTGGCAGATGAAGTGACTTAAAAAAAAGAGTTTCTTTCATGCACTGTGATTGACCACATGGGTGGTGGAGTCCCAGACCTAGGTTTGAATCCAGGTGTGTGGTTTTTGGTGAGTTGCTTAGTTAACCCCCATCTCAGCCTCAATTTTTTAGTCCGCGACACAGGGATAAGAAAACCTCCTTCTGGCCGGCACGATAGCTCAAACCTGTAATCCCAGCACTTTGGGAGGCTGAAGTGGGTGGATCACCTGAGGTCAGGAGTTCAAGACCAGCCTGGCCAACAGATACAAAAGATACAAAAATTAGCCAGGCGTGGTGGCAGGTGCCTATAATCCCAGCTACTAGGGACGCTGAGGCAGGAGAATCGCTTGAACCCGAGAGGCGGAGGTTGCAGTGAGCCGAGATTGCCACTGCACTCCAGCCTGGGCAACAGAGTAAGACCTTGTCTCAAAAAAAAAAAAAAAAAAAAAAAAAAAAAGAAAGGAAAAAAAAAAGAAACAAAGAAAAAAAAAAAAGGCTGGACACGGCAGCTCACGCCTATATCCCAACAATTTAGGAGGCGGAGGCGGGCGGATCACCTGAGATCAGGAGTTCGAAACCAGCCTGGCCAACATGGAGAAACCCCGTCTCTACCAAAAATACAAAATTAGGTGGGTGTGGTGGCACATGCCTATAATCCCAGGTACTCGGGAAGCTGAGGCAGGAGAATCGCTTGAACCCCAGAGGCGGAGGTTGCGGTGAGCCGACATCACACCATTGCGCTCCAGCCTGGGCAACAAGAGTGAAACTCGGCCTAAAAAAAAAAAAAAAAAAAAAAAAGAAAGAAAACCTCTTTCCTCATAGAGTGGTTGCAAAGAAATAATATTAAGATCTGAATTTGTTCTAATCTTTGTTGCTTGTTACGACTCCTTTGCTAGAGGTCATCCAGGTGACCAAGTTAAAATAAAACCGTGGCAAGGGAATAGTAATTCAGAAACTAAAAAATGGCCAGGAGGGCTTATTTTGAAGTATTGTATTTCTTGGACAAATGTGCTTATAGGTTGATTTTTATCTTTTGGGCACCACCCTGTGACTGTGATTAAATTAAACATCTCAAAGCGGTTTAAAAGTAGCATTTAAAAAGCCTGTAACTTTGTGCCAAACCTCACATCCTTGGCAAGAGTTAAGTGGAACAGCACGGATGTGTCCAGTAGGGAGCCCTGGTCCCCAGAGTTACGGGGTCTGGGTGAATCTGAGCAGTCCTGATCCTTGCTCCCCAGGCCTTGGCGATCTGAGCAAAGGGAGGGTGGTTTCCAGTTCTAACATCCTATGCTGTGCACAAGCTGGATTTTCTCTTGATCACTGAAAACGCAGAAAACCCCTGGTTGCTGTCTGTCACATTGTTCATATTCCCTGGTGTCCCTGAGAGGAAACGAGAAATTACTGCTGCTCTTGAGGCAGGAGAATAGCAGAGGGAATTGGAGGTTAAAGGGCGGAATGAGTAGAAGCAGAAGCAAGGTGAAGAGGCAGTGAGCAAGAAGCAAGACAAGAAACAGAAGTTGAGCAACCAAAACACAAATAAGATTAAAAAGTGAGTAAGAAGCTCCTGTGGCCAGCTAGGTCTGGACCAAACCTGTCAGGGGCAGCTCCTCAGAGATGCGCATGTGCATTAGAGAGAAAAAGTATCCTTAAAATGACCCCGTATGATAATAAGCTTATTAAAGCTGATGCATATGGACTGCATATCATGCATGTACTTAAGATTATGGGATGGAGGTGACAGGCAAGCACACAAGGGCCAAAGTAACATAAGCAACCCACCTATCAATCAAAAGGCAGATGCTGGCTAGAGATTAGGCAGCCTTGGGAAGAGAAGAAAAATAAACATATAAAAGAGCCCAAAATACACCAAACTGGTGCTGATCTCACTTCGCAGAGATTGGTCCACCCTCCCCTCTCTGAGAGTGTAATACTGTGCTGAATAAGCTTTTGCTGCAAAAGCAATGAATATTTGTTTTGCTGTTTGTGTGTGTCACATCCAATTCTTTGTTCGGGACACCAAGAGCCTGGAGCTGCGCTGCACCATCAGATAACACTCCGGAAGGGGGTCCTTACCTGGAGATGGCCACTCTTCCCCAGTTTCTGCTCCATGAGACTGTAGGAAGTGATCGTGATGAAGAGGGGCATGGCGAAGTTGAAGAAGGACATGGTGAAGAGGAAGCTGGTGAAGTTTCTACAGGGAGAGCGGGTGGAGGATTGGGGTTAGCTCTCAGGGATGGCCAGCTGCCCTCAAGGACCCACCAGCTCTGCCCTAGATGATCGGTTGTGGGGAAATGCCCCATTCAGACAAGCTCGCAGTGTGGTTGCTCCCGGGTCCCAGGTGAACTCCCTTTAGGAGCCAGGGAGCTACAAGGAGGAAGAGGCCTCTTTCTTGTTCAAGTGCTCAGCCCTGCTTTCCTGTTTGTCCCCCAAGCATGAAGAATGGGAAATTTTAGTTTGGGAAACATGTTCACCCAATGGTGGGGATGTCAGTGGGCCAAGAGAAAGGAACATTCAAGGAGCATTCTAGGCCCAAAGGTTTTAAAAGGAGACGGGATAACAAGAAGACTGGATACTGTGTCACTGAAGAAATGGTTGAAGGCACCACAGAAGAGCTTGGGTTCCCAGGTAGTGGTCATGGGGAGGTGAAGGGAATAGTGGGAGTCCCAGGGAGACAGATTCCCATTTTCTGAAGGGAAGACTATGTCACCTTGGAGCCGTCCACCAGGGAGGGGCAGCTGGAAGGACTGGACCCTGGCTGGGGAGTGCCATGGAGGGACACTTGGACCAGGCCCAGCGTTCTCAAGAATGCATCACCTGGAAAGCCTGTCATCCAGTGCAGATGCCTCATGATTAAACACCATGGGTAAAGCAGATGAATGCAACTTGGCTCTGGTGGAAGCAAGAGGGGCTGGAGCCCATGTGACCATTCCTCAAGGCAGTTCCTAAAGGATCCCCCTAAGCCCTTGTCTCCCTAGAGCCTCCTGATGGGGCAGTACCAGAACACGAGCCCCATGAGGGTGGGGACCCTCATGCATTCTGTCCTATTTCTCCAGGGATTGCCTCATAGCGTATGCTCAGGGCATTCCCTCCCAATGCAAGGACCTTAATGTTCTTTGAATCTATTGTACCAAGGGCGTGGCTCCCTCTAGAAATTGATGAGGTCAGAGCCATGATGGTCGACTGTGCTGAAGATGGCTAAGAGGTGGTGCGGCTTGGTGACTGTTACCACTGACACAAGCCAATGGCTCCCTGTATGATGTCTCTTTTTGGGTTCAACTCTGGGTCCCAATTTTCACAGCATTCCCATCACCTGGCCAGTTTTCAGAACAGGCTTTTTCCAGTCCCACTGTCCACCTGCAGGTGGGTATCATGATTAAGAAGTTGAGATTGTCTGGCAAACGTTGACATTTCCCCATTTGGATTTTCAGCTGGGGCACCCTTGTCATAGGAGTTCAAAGCCAAGATTCCCATGGATAGGAGCCTCGAAGCTGCTCCTCCCACCTCACCTGTCCCCCTTGGAGTAGTCCAGGGTGCAGCATGTCCCCAGTGGCTCATAGTCGTAGTGACCCCAACCCAGAAGGGGCAGAGCTGCCCAGAAGGCAGAAGACAGCCACACGAAGAGCACCAGAGAGACGGCTGAGTTCCAGGCCAGCTGGCTACCTGCACAGGACAGAGGAAGAAGAGGAGGTTGTGAGGAGGAGATGGCCTGATAGAGTGAGAAAGAATGGACTTCCTGATCTCGAAGAGTGTCCCTTCAAGTGATCCACCAGCCTCAGTCTCCCAAAGTGCTGGGATTACAGGATTGAGCCACTACATCCTGCCAGAAGGAGGTTTTCTTATCCCTGTGTTACGGTCTAAAAAATTGAGGCTGAGAGAGGGGTTAACTAAGCAACTCACCAAAATGAGAACCCCAGCTCTGATGCTTAATAACTCAGAGCCTCAGGCAAGTGAAGAGCTTCTTTGAGCCCCAGTATTCTCGCCCACAATGGGAATGATAATCCTTGCCTCAGAGGATTGTTATGAAGAATGAAATAGATAATGGATGGTGAAGGTCTCCAAATAGACACACTATACCATCTTCTTCAGAGGACAGAGACGAGGGAGTGGCAAAGAGACAGATACGTTTTCAGAGACAAAGTTCAGGAAGAAGCATAGGCAGGGGTTCAGGTGAGGGTCATAGGGGATGGAGGCAGAAGTCTGGACTTACCACCATCCTCAGCACTTGCTCAGAATCAGGCCACTGCCCCTGCTTCCAGGACACCCTCTGAGAATGCTTGACTCGGGGGTTGGGGCTCAATCTCAGTGCCAATGGCAGAGGCTGGGTCCCAGCAGCATCTTTTGATATGAACCAGCCATGCTGATTTGACCTCCTCTAGTCCCTTCCCTGAAGCCCCCCTCTCTGCTGCAGTGTCATTGGGTCCTTCCCATTCAGTGGTTCCTCCTGGATCTGGCTTCAGGATGCACTTCCCAGGTGCCCTCCTCTGTCTACTGTTTTTTTGTCATACTCCTTTGTATATAAGATACCAGGGCAGAGGACAGTTCTCCAGATGGGTTTTGATCGGGAGAGAAGAGCATGTCTACAACCTCCCTCATCTGACAGTTTGCTTCTACTGATACGGCTCCAGATGGAGTTTGCTTGGATGTGACCTTCTGATATGAACTGAATGTTTGTGTCCCCTCAAATTTATATGTTGAAGCCCTAATCCCCAATGTGATGGCATTTGGAGGTGGGGCCTTTGGGAGATAACTAGGCCATAAGGGTGGAGCCCCCATGATGTGATTAGTGCCCTTATAAGAAGGGACACAATTAGCTGGACATGCTGCATGCGCCAGTAGTCCCAGCTAGTCAGGAGACTGAGGTGGAGAATTGCTTGAACCCAGAAGGCGGAGGTTGCAGTGTACTGAGATGGTGCCACTACATTCTAGCCTGGGCAATAGAGTGAGACTCTGTTTCAAAAAAATGAAAGAAGGAACACAAGAGTGACAATCTCTCTCTTTTAATGTGAGGACATGGCAAGAAGGTGAACATCTATAAACCAAGAATCAAGCCCTCACCGAACCTGACCATGCTGACACCTCGCATTTGGACTTCCCAGCCTGAATAACTGAGAAATAAATTTCTATTGTTCAAGCCACCGAGTCGATGGCATTCTATTATAGGAGCCTGGGCAGACTAAGACACCTCCCATCCCAACTGTGGGCACGATAATTACGTGCAAGGACAGGAAGACTCAATATAGTTAAGATGTCAGTTCTTCCTGTCTTTTTTTAAAAAAATTTTTGAGACAGAGTCTTGCTGTGTCACCCAGGCTGGAGTGCAGTGGCGTGATCTCGGCTCACTGCAACTTCCACCTCCCAGGTTCAAGCGATTCTCCTTCCTCAGCCTCTCAAGTAGCTGGGATTACAAGCTCATGCCACCATGCCCAGCTAATTCTTGTATTTTTAGTAGAGATGGGGTTTCACCATGTTGGCCAGGCTGGTCTCGAACTCCTGACCTCAAGTTATCTGCCCACCTCAGCCTCCCAAAGTGTTGGGATTACAGGCATAAGCCACCATGCCTGGCCTTTTCTTTTCTTCTTCTTCTTCTTCTTTTTTTTTTTTTTTTTATTGAGGCGGAGTCTCATTCTGTTGCCCAGGCTGGAGTGCAGTGGTGCCATCTCAGCTCACTGCAACCTCTGCCTTCCAGGTTCAAACAATTCTCTGTGGGCACAATAATTAATATCTACCTGGACCATTGTGCTGCCTCAGACTTTCAGCTTTAGAAACAGATGGCCAAGGTGACATGCCTACAACCACCCAGGGATGGAGTAGATGAATTCAGACCTCCTCATTCCCCTTTGCCTGCCTTCACACTGCTCTGCCATGCTCTCAGTATAGAAAGGGCTTTGATCTAAGGCCTCTGGCACAGGGATTAACTGTTCTATATTGAGGCAGAGAAGCCTGTTGCTATCTGAGAAGGTGGTGTGTGTGTGTGTGTGTGTGTGTGTGTGTGTGTGTGTATAAGATGGTCCAAGGGAGCATTAGGGGCAGGGGCTGGGATGTAAGGAGTGGGAGAAGTGCTCTGAGGCCAAGTGGACAAGAGGGCTAACCTATCGCCACTCAAAATGATGAGACCGATGGCAGCATTTTGGCCTGGAGAGAGGCATATGACAGGAGAGACCCATGAGGGGCAGTGAATTTTCAGGGAAGGGGGCTATACATGTGACTATGGCAAGGGAAGTTCTGTGGATTCCAAAGAGGACATGCCATGGTTTGAGGCTGTGCTGGCTATAGACCTCACAGCAGCCTCTGTGCTGGACAAATTCATAGCTCAGGACTTGGAGGTACCAGGTCATGCCCAGTGCTGGCTCTGCCCTTAGTAGCGAGGCAAGCTGCTTAACTTCTCTGTGCCTCTGCTTCCGAGGCTGTGAGCTGAAGGTTTGCTAGGAGGGTTAGCTGAGCCACAGCTCCCCAAAACATGTTTATGTACCCCTGGTGGTAAACAGGGTTCTAGATGGTCTCTGGTGAACAGGTTTTTATTTTAATTGTATTAAAATTATAAGAACATTAAACCTGTGATTTCCCAGATGTTGTTTAGAATGAGCTTGTAGCAGGTGTTTACATTTTAAAAAATGAGTCACTTTTAAGAAAAAAAAAATTAAGGAAAAATGGAGCAGTTTGTACACTGATATGGCCAATTATGAAGATGGTATTTGACAGTGCAGCTTGTGAAATCTAGAGCTGGACAGTTTTCATGAAGCCTCATGGAAGTGTGGGGTGCCAGGGCACATGCCCAGCTACACACACATACACACAGCCTCTCTGCGCCTGTCTGCAGAGTAGTGCCTGTCTGCAAGGGCATTTTCTGTATCCCTGATCTCATTTCATTTTCAAAATAAAACTGAGATTGGTTATTAAAATCATCTCAGCCGGGTACGGTGGCTCACGCCTGTAATCCCAGCACTTTGGGAGGCTGAGGTGGGTAGATCACGAGGTCAGGAGTTCAAGACCAGCCTAGCCAATATGGTGAAACCCCATCTCTACTAAAAATACAAAAATTAGCCAGGTGTGGTGGCACATGCCTGTAGTCCCAGCTACTCAGGAGGCTGAGGCAAAAGAATCACTTGAAACCAGAAGGCCGAGGTTGCAGTGAGCCGAGGTCACACCACTGCACTCCAGCCTGGGCAATAGAGCGATTCCGTCTCAAAAAGAAAAAGAAAATCATTTCGCAGAGGAGGAGACTAAGGTTCAGAGAGGATCCCTGACTTGCCCAAGGTTGCGGTAATGGCAAGAGAGGCCCAACAGCTCTCCTGCACACTCTCCCACCCTCCCTCCTTTCCTGAAATGAGTGCCTATGCATGCACACTCACACCTACCCACACTTCCCTGTACTGGGAAACACGGAGCAGTAGCTAGTTATGACTGCCCCTCCCTGCCTCTTATCCTCTCCACACTGCATCGGTGTCCCTCCACTCCAGGAGCCCAGATACATACGGGTGCAGTAGTGGTGATAACGCCCCCATGCGATGGCTGCACTGCTGCAGATGCTGGCCAACGCTGTCACAAAGCCCTGGAAGCCGTGAGCCTGGCAGCCGTCCGAGCCGTAGGGCCAGCGCCTGTGGGAGACACTGGGCACCAGTGACCTCTCCTCCGATCCTTTCCACCTCCCACACCTGCCAAGTACAGCTTGGAGTGTGTGTTCCTGAATGCTGCCCTTCTTCTCTGAAGAGGGCCTTAATATTGGTGTCTTTCCTATGAGGCGTTGGAGCTCAAGTAACTGGGCTGAAGGGGTGGAGCCCAATGCACACTCTCCAGGCTGGGTGACTTTGACTGCACCATGGTTGGGCCATAGGCTCTCTCTGCGTGATCAGATCCCTCTGTCACAGGAGAGCTCATGCCTGTATTTGATAGGTGGGGAAACTGACATTCAAAGAGGCAAAGATACTGAAGCCAAGGTCACACAGAAGATGAAGGCAAAGTCAGAGGGGAGATCCCAGGCCTCCCCAGCCTAAAAGGGCAAGCAAAGGTGGAAACTTCAATTCTCTGTGGGAGGAAGAGTTCTCACTGATGCAGACCCCCCAGGCTGGTCAGCACTGAGCATGCACATCCGGGGGGGCTCCAGCCTCCGTCTGTAGTGTCCAAAACCAGAATGAGAATGTCCAGTCTGCTTCAGAAAACAATTTTATAAACACCTTCTGAAGCTGTGATGGAAGACCCTGGTTTTTGTATAAGGAGGTATTAGACACTAGCTAGTTATGACTGCCCCTCCCTGCCTCTTATCCTCTCCACACTGCATCGGTGTCCCTCCACTCCAGGAGCCCAGATACATACGGGTGCAGTAGTGGTGATAACGCCCCCATTTGTGTTCACAAACACTTACGTAGAGTCCTAGGTATCAAGCATTATTTTAAGTTATTTACACATAATAGAAGTAAATACTTCCAACCACCTATATGAGTTAGGAAATAATATCCGATTTATGGAAGAAGCCCAGAACTAGAAATGCTGAAGCCAGAATGCAAACCTAGGTTGCTTGGTTACAGAACCCACACCATTGATCTCTACAGCCTACCATCTCTTTCATCAGGTTTCAGCAACCCCTGTCTTCCAGAAATCAGCTGTCGTTCTTCAGAATCAATCTGGAATTCAGCCCATTTTAGCCTGCCCACCCTCTGCCCTTGGCCAATTTTCTGTAAGTAGTAAAAATGCCCTTGGCCTGGCTGCCCAGGGCCCAGGGGTCAGGCCCCAGGCAGGACCCCAGAGCCTGTGGACTGGGGAGGGGGCTGGTACCGGAGAAGGCTGGATGTGGCTGCAACGAGGGCATTCAGGCTGATCCCACTGTCCGCAAGAGCCAAGCTCAGCACCAGTAGGTGGCAGGGAGTCCGCAGCTCCGGGGTCTTGCAGAAAGAGAAGATGGTCAGGGTATTGAGGCTGAGACCGGAGAGAGCTGAAAGGAAGGGTGGGGGCTGGCATTGGGGCTGCTGAGGCCCAGCTGGGGTCAGAACAGTGTGTGTGGGGTGGATGGAACATCAGCAACCTCCTGGACAGACAAGGAAGACAATCAATATAGGGTAGCATGCTTCATGCTATAACAGTCATAATCACTGACAGCTGCCAGGCACTTAGCACACACCAGGCACCAGGATAAGCACTTTATATGAGTCATCTCATTCAATCTTTACTTGGATACTCTCTTCTCCATTTATAGCTGGGAAACTGAGGCTCAGAGACACTAGCTAACTTGCCCTAAGTACACAGCTAGTAAGCGGTGGAGCTGGAACTTGAATTCAGGCCTTTTGGATTTCAAAATGCCTTCTCCAAGGACTGTAGAGCAAAGTCAGAGAGGCTCCAAGGAGAAGAGTCGATGTTAGAGCTGGGAGCTGCCCAGGACGCCAGGCATGGAAGTGAACATGAAGGGGGCGTACTCTGGCAACAGAGAGACCCGACCTTGAATTTTGGCTTGGTTGCCTCGCTTGCTGCTCCTTAAGCTCTCTGAACCTCAGCTTCCCCTATCTAAAGTGAGGAACAGGAAAAAATCCTGCCTTCAAAACTATGAGAAGCACTTACCTGCAGGACAGTGCATGGAAGAGCATTCCAGGAGGGAATAGCATGTGCAAAGACATGCTATGGTACAATGAGATACCACCTTACTCCTATAAGAATGACCATCATTAAAAAGTCAAAAAACAATAGATCAATGCCATGGATGTGGTAAAAAGGGAATGCTTATGCACTGCTGGTGGGAATATGTAAATTAATACAACCTCTATGGAAAACAGTATAGAGATTCCTTAAATAACTAAAAGTAGATCTGCCATTTAATCCAGCCAAAAACACACATGCACATCTATGCTTACCGAGGCACAATTCACAATTGCAAAGATACGAAATCAATGTAAGTGCCCACTGACCAATGAATGGATAAAGAAAATGTAGTATATATACATCATGGAATAATAGCTGTAAAAAGGAATGAAATAATGTCTTATTACAGCAATTTGGATGGAGCTGGAGGCCATTATTGTAAGTGAAGTAACTCAGGAATGGAAAACCAAATGCTGTTTGTTCTCAGTTACAAGTGGGAGCTAAACCGTGAGTACGCAAAGGCATTCAGAGGACACAATGGACTCTGGAGACTCAGAAGGGGAAGGGTGGGAGAGGGAGTGGGATTAAAAAAACCTACAAATGAGGCACAATGTACGCTACTTGGGTGATGAGTGCACTAAAGTCCTAGCATTTGCCACGATGTAATTCATCTATGTAAACAAAAATCACTTGTATCCCCAAAGCTATTGAAATTTAAAACATATTTTAAATAAAATAAAAACCAAAGCATTGTGTATATAATGACATTTCTAGTCATTAAACATGAAATAAAAATGTAAATTTAAACCCCTTCCAAAAAATAAAGTGGTAAAATTTTATGGCATGTTTGAGGACCTGGAAGGATGCTAGATTGTAGGGTTCTCAGGAAAGGGAGACACGGGCTGGGGCCACCAGACAGTCGTGTCCAGAGCCTTCAGGACCAATCTAATGACTGTCACTTCCTCTCCATTGTCAGTTCTCATTAGGTGAGAAAACGTGCTGATGATTTCTCTGGGTCTGCTTTGAACCAAAGCTGCGTTCTCCATCAATTTAGCTTGGGCTGGCCCAGATTCAGGATTGACACTGTCTCTAGCTCTGGCCTCAGCGAGCATCTTAGGGATTCTAGGTTGAGGTAGGTACCTCGCAGACCCAGGTTGCCTCCAGAGGTGAAGTGCTTGGGCTCATAGGAGTAGACACAGTGAAAATAGTGGTGGGGCTGGAGAGGATGGGAGTGAATGAACTTAAATACCCTAGAGTCTATTTAGGCTAGCACTTTATACCCATTATCCCATTTAATCTTTACAACCACCCATTCGGAATGTCAAGGCATTGAGGGCAGAGAGCTGAAGGGACTTGGTTCCAGCCACACAAGAGCAGGAGGCAGAGCTGTCTGTCCCCAGAGCCTTTTGGGGGACTGATCTTATGTGGGATTCTCAGCAGGATTTCCAAGGAGTGGATTAAATTTTCTCCCGGCTGGAGGGACATGAAAAGTCCTAAAGCCTGGCTCTTGATCATCTCCTGGGCAGATGTCCCCTTTCAAAGTCCCTCCCTCCCTGACCCTTGCCTGGCTTCCTCTCTGCTCCCAGCGGGCAGTGTGCTGCACCTCACAGGTTCAATTGTCAGAACACCCCCCGAGTCCGGGCACAGAGGGGAAGGCAGCCAATGGGACCGGACACCCAGCTGGGTTTGGGGACCTCTCCTCTCCTTGCCAGCTCCACACTGGTGGCCTGGGTCCTCAGAACCCACTGGGCCCCCGCTGCACCCCAGGTTCTGCCTGGCTCACCTTCCACCAGTAGCACCATCCCCACAGCCAGCACCTCGAGCTCCCCGAAGCCAGTGGGCAGGGCACTGGTCTCTGCCATCCTCACTCTCCCTCACTGCCAGTGGCCCAGCTGTCTCTGGCTTCCCACAGCCAGGCCCTCCCTTTTAAAGGGCCATCCCATGTGCGTGGAGGCACATGCAGGTTATTATGTTGGACCTTGGGCTGTTTCTGGATGCCTCCCCGCTGCAAATGGTCCTCTTGGCCCAAGCAGAAGGAACCCATTCACGAGTTGGACAATGCAGCCTTTGTGAAGCCAGAATGGAGCCCTGTCTCATTCATTTCAGCCCCATTGCACAGGATTAAGGTCGGGGAATCCAAATGGTGTGTGGCTGAGAGCCTAATTGGAAAAGAGTTGCATAACCAGGGGAGGGGAGCAGGAGGAGGGATTTGAGCCGCAGCTGTTCCCAACAAGCCTGGTGCCTGTGTGTGTGTCCTCAGGCTCACATGAGTATACTCCAAAGCGCTGGGGAAAGGATGAGGCTTGGGAAGTCGCCTGCTGTCAGAGGAAGAACCCCATCTGGGACCAGAAAATGGGGTTGGGGTTCTGGTTCTGAATCTGCCACTAACTAGTTATGCGCCTTGGAGTGGGACCACTGGACTCTTCCGTTTACTTTTCTGCAATGTCAATGTCTTTTGTCTGTGGCCTTTATATAAGTCCTGGTTAGATATCACGAATATAAACCTCAGGGCTGCATTTCCTGTCTCCCATAGAGCACCTGAGCATAAAAAATGTCCTAGGACACTGTCTTAGAACAGAGGGGCTGCCTGCCGTCTTGTCAGTCTCCGACCCCGAACCCGCCCAGCCTTGCCGGCCCCACTAAGAGCTTTGGCTGCTACAAATGACTTCTTGATACACTGGCTCTTTATGCACTGTTATGCTCTGGCTCATGATAAAATTTACACCAGGAAATACTGATCTAGGACAACTTAGTTCATTTTCAGATAAAGAAACCAAGCTCCAGAGCACTATCAGCAACATAGCTAATATTGAGTGAGGTCAGGCCCTGTGCTAGGGGATCTTCTGATGAGTCCTACAACAACTCCATGAGTTAGATACCATTATCCTTTCCATTTTAGATGAGGAAACTGTGGCTAAAAACAGTTAAGAATCTGCCTGAGGCCATGCAGTAATTTATGGATGGAGCTGGAACAAAAGCCGATCTCCTATTCCTCAGGCTCAGGCATTTTTCAATGGCATCTTCTGACTCACCTGGTAGAGCAACCCACTCTGTTCCAGGAATGCCCACTTCCCAGGCCTTTCCTCTCATGAGTCCTCACTTACATCCAAGCCTAATCCCTCTGCAGGGCTGAGCTTATGGCTGCGCCCTCCAGAGCGTTCCCTGTTCTTTCTCAATTTCTTTTTTGTTTTTTTGTTTGTTTTTGAGATGGAGTCTCGCTCTGTCGCCCAGGCTGGAGTGCAATGGCGCAATCTCGGCTCACGCAACCTCTACCTCCCCAGTTCAAGCTATTCTCCTGCCTCAGCCTCCCGAGTAGCTGGGATTACAGGCATGTGCCACCATGCTCGGCTAATTTTGTATTTTTATTAGAGACAGGGTTTCTCCATGTTGGTCAGGCTGGTCTTGAACTCCCGACCTCAGGTGATCTGCTGGCCTTGGACTCCCAAAATGCTGGGATAACAGTCATGAGCCACCCTGCCTGGCCTTCTGTCTCAATTTCTACCTTATGGTGTTGGTTAATACATATGTCAGTCCTTTTTTCATGCCTTCGAGATCACAAAAGCCTTCATGAGAGGAGATAAAGCAGGGCAAGGCCAAGATTAAAGGGTAAAGTTCATTTGGGCAAAAGACACAAGGAGGAAGAAGCAGAGATGTGGGAACAGGCAAGCTGACGGCTGGGTTTGGGGAGGTGGAAGTATAGCTGGGAAGCACTGAGAAAATCCTACTGGCTGCATTGGAAGGAAGGAAAGAATGAGAAGCCAGTATTGTTGAAACAGACCTGGCTCCGAGCTAGGCATTTTATGTGTGCACTGGGGCCCCAGATATCTTTGCAGGTCATACCTCACTGGTCTAGGCCTGCCTGGAGCCACAGGCATGAAGGACTGGGGAACCTTCTAGAAAAGCCAAACAACATAGGTAGGGCATGCTGGACCAGAGAACAATGCCTCAGGGTCAAATGTGAAGAATGAATGAATGAGTCGACTGAGTGTCTACTGCTGGGAATCATCCCTGGTCAGTCCCCACTGGCATCTTGAGTAGATATGGTGGGGCGAGATAGGGTTAGGAGAGAATAAGTAAAAATTGAAATTAGTCTGGGTGCAGTGGCTCAGGCCTGTAATCCCAGCACTTTGGGAGACTGAGGTAGGAGGATCGCTTGAGGCCAGGAGTTTGAGACCATCCTGGGCAACATGGCAAGACCCTGACTGCAAAAAATAATTTTTTAAAAATAGCCAAACATGGTGGTGGTTGCCTGCAGTTCCAGCTACTTGCGAGGCTGAGGCAGGAGGATGGCTTGAGCTCAGGAGTTCGGGGCTACAGTGAGCTATGATTACACCATTGCACTCCACTCTGAGTGACAGAGCAACCCTGTCCCTATAAAGCAAAACAAAGCTTTATGGATGGAGAATTTCCAAAGGCCCTTATTAGAGGTTGGGGTCCTGTCTCCAAAAAAACCTGAAAGTGCCTTCTCTAAGACCTCTCTGAGCTACCTCTCTGGGGCCCTCCTTGGAGTAGGGCACCTTGAGGAGAGGGGTGCCCTTGTCCCTTATGTGGAGACATCTCCACCTTTGGCATTCGTAGCAATGCCCAGAAGGGCTCAGCTGAAATAGTAGTGTGTTGAGTCCATATCCATGGGGCACTCAAGGCAGGCAGCTGTTTGCCTGGCAGCCTGGGACAGTTTGTGGGCTCATGAGAGACACCTCTGATGTCTCCCCAAAATATCTGAATCTGTCCAGTTCTTCTGTAAGTAGGGTCTTATAAGTACCAGTGAAACTGGGCACTTACAACTTGTGAGAGAGCTTCTGTTCCCACAGGCTGTCAAGGCCTTGGAATTTGAGTTTGATTTTCACAAACACCCTGCATGAAGTAACTTTATTTCTCTTTGTCAGATAAGGACACAGAGGCCAAGAGATAATGTGACTCACCCAAGGTCACAGCCCCTTAATGGAGCAGCTGGGATTTGACCCCAGGAAGCCTGGGTCCAGAGCTTAGCCTCCTTCCAATGCCTTTAGCACCATCAGGAAGAGTTGCTTCATTTCACTGCTTTTTTGCTATGAGACAGTGTCACAGGAAAGAATTTCCAAAGGCCCTTACTGAGGCGGGGGTTCTTTCTCCATCTTCCCTGGCACTCCAGTGGGGTCTGTGTTGTCCGTGGCCTTGTTGGGATGGGATGCTTTGCAGATGACAGTCCCATGGCTGCTCGCCTCTGGAAAGCTGCCTACTTGTCTTGCTTTGCTGTGCCCTGCCCTGGCCTCTCTGGGCCTGTGGATATTGCTATGGAAGGGGGTCCCCCGCCCCTACCCTCAGGACTGAGTGATTCAGAAAGCAATAAGCCTCTGAGTGCTGCGGCTGGGACTCCCCTCCCTAATCCCCAGTCTGTCCATGTTTATCCGATGGCCTCAGGAGGGGGTGTAAGGGGCTGGCGAGCAAGTGGGCAGCTGCTGAGCTTGCTGGGCCGGTGGGACGGAGCGGTCCAGGGACAGGCCCCTGCCTGGGCCAGAGAGGAGCCAGGAGCCATGAGGGTGGCATTAGGCATGCTCTGGCTCTTGGCCCTTGCGTGGCCCCCCCAGGCCCGGGGCTTCTGCCCCTCTCAATGCAGCTGCAGCCTCCATATCATGGGTGATGGCAGCAAGGCCAGGTATGGTACCGGGTGCGTGGGACGGGCAGCCCAGCCTCCATTGCTTTGCCAGCTAGGCTGGGTTGGGAGGAGTTGGAGCTGGGGCCCTGGGTGAGGTCTTCATCTCCCTTGGCCCTTGAGGACCAGGGATCCTATGGGGTGGACTGTGCTGCATTGTTTTCCAGCAGGCAAGGGGGTGACTCTATTCGAGAGGTACCAGGTATCTATACACATGGGCCCGAGGGTGAGGCACAAGTATGTCAGTTCTAAGAAGTCCTTCCTAAGTCCTCCTCCAGGCTCCTGGTGAAGAGCCCTCCTTAAAGGTCCAGGAAATCTCCTCCCTTACTGCTTTTTCTTCTCTTTTATTTTTTCTATTCCCTCTTCTTTTCTATATTTCCCCAGCCCCTTCTTTCCCAGGCCACTTGCACTCTCTTGCCTGACCTCTCTACAATATTCAATCATATCCCAGGCATTTCCTACAACCCCACCCATGATGGGACCACTTGCCTCTCATTCTCTTCCTCCTCTCCATCTTCGCTGGCCAGATCCCAGGAGCCTCAGCCTCAATACCTTTTTATGAGTGCTCCAAAAGCCAGGAGTGCCCATCCCATGACAAGCATGCTTCCTTCCATCCCCAGCCTTTTCCTTGACTTTCCCCACCCTCTGTCTGATCCCTCAGAGCACCTCCATTCTCTCCTCCTCTCCTTTCATGGGACATTCCCATGCCACTGTGGCTTGTGGACCCTTGCTCTTCCACTACTGCTCATTTTCTTCTTTTCTTTAGCAACGTTTAAATCATCTTTTCTCCAACTTCTTTAGCTTATCCATTAATGACCTCTGCATGGTTTCTGAGCCACTGATGGTTTCTGATCCTGGGAACAATGTTATTGGAGCTACCCTTTTAATAATCTTGGCAATGAATGTCGAGTTGATTGGGGGATGAGAGGAGAATGGAGAAGAACCACTAAGAAAAGACACCTCAAATGATCTGAGAACCAGAATGAGCTCCACTGTAGCCCAAGTGTCCAAGGCATCAACTCATATGAAGTGTAAGGGTCCTGTCCCCAGTAGAAGCCAGGCTGAGCCCTGAACAGCCTGCTGTTCCCAGCCTGGGCAGTGTCACTGGAGTGACAAAAAGCCTCCCACCACCCGTAGAAGGCATAGGGCTGAAAGCCACACAGCATCATTGACAAAACCGGTCCTGGAACCCAGGCATTCCGATTCAGTTTTCAGAACACTTATCTGGTGATGCTGCCATGGGCAGGGACCAGTGGTAAGTTCCAGGCAGCAGAGTTAATCTTAAGATGGAAAATGAGTTTCTAGGGCCGCTAATGTAAGTCAGTGGGCATTCCCTTCTCTGAAGCCAGAGCTCTTGGTTCTACCCGCCTGACTATCCCATGGCTAACATGCACCAGCCCATCTGCATGGAGGGTCCTATGAGGCCATGAAAGGTGGTAGCGGGCCCTGAGGTCCCCTGTGGCTATGGGCACAGACTGTGCAGTTAGACCAAAGCTCGTTCTGCATGTCAGAAGCCTTCCTCAGATCCCTCTCTAACCTGGGCCTCTCAGAGAGCCCAGCCTTTATGTCTGAGCTGTTGTATCGTGAAGTGTGTGCCTGTGGGCACTGGGGTTGCCTGGGAGGAGCTGGGCTATGCATCTGAATGGATTTGTGCCCATGCTGTTTGTCCCAGTTTGCCTCTGGTTTTACCCCACCCGGAGTTGTGCTGGAGGTTTGAGCTGTGGTGTAGGCTTGCATTGAGTTCTTATGGTTTCCTTTAAATGCCCCTTTTACCGTTTTCTCTCCCGTTCAAGATAAGTTTTCCAATCACCTGTCTTTCTCTCACCTACATCCAGACCTTCCTCCTTGCAATACCCAAACCTGTATTACTTTTTTTGAGACAGGGTCTTGCTCTGTCACCCAGGCTGGAGTGCAGTGGCACAATCATAGCTCACTGTAGCTTCCAACTCCTAGGCTCAAGCCACCTTCCCACCTCAGCCTTCTGAGTAGCTGGGACTACAAGCATGAGCTATCACACCTGCCCGAACCTATTGTAGTATCTGGAAATATCATTGCTGTAAATGCTCTTTCTTCCTGAGCTAGATTACACACTGTATGGAGACAGGGGCTATGAGGCTGATTCTCTTCTGAATTGCTCATCACTTAGTAAGAGTTCCATGTATATTTGCTCAAAAGGAGTGAGTAAGAATATCCGTGCTGTTTGTGGACACTGTTTACAAGAAAAAACAAGCCCAGCCCAGCTGCCTTTAAGTGGAGCATAGACTTATGCTGAGGGATGCTGGTGATATGTGTGTGCACCTCCAGGAAAGCCTGATATCACCAGTAGGTTATGCTATTACAAGAGAACAACCTCCCTTAGAAGGGCCTGTTCAGTGGCTGGGGGGCTTAGGATTTTGTTTTCAGTTTACGTAGTATAAAACATAGCCCTGAAATGTAGGCTTCTTGAGGGCAGGGACTGCCTCCTATTATCTCTCTATCCTCTGCTTTAGTCTCAAACTTAATGGAATAAGGTTTAAGAAGTCGTGGTTTGGGTAGAAGAGCTGATAAGACTGACCCGATCTACTTGCAGTGCTGAGATGCAAACATTGATGACAGTGATCCATACCCTTGGGCTCATGCAGGGTGGCAGGCAATGTGCTGGGCTTCCACATGCATTACCTCATTTAAACCCCATAACCACCTTGTGGGGTCTATTTGATGGCAAAACTGAGGAAAAGAGAGGTTACCTAATGTACTCAAGGACACACAGCCAGCAAGCAAAGAGCCCAGGTGTGAATCCAGCTGTGGGGCTGCCAAGTCCTGGCTCTTAAACAACTTGATCATCGATCGCATGGCTCCGCAGAGGTGGGAGAGACTTGAGGTGGTTTCATTTTTGATGTCCTTGGTATATTTTTTGTTAAACGATAAACCAAAACAGTTACAAAAATTGAGGTATAATTTAACAAACGAACACTTTTTTTTTTTTTTTGAGACAGTCTTGCTGTGTCACCCAGGCTGGAGTGCAGTGGGGTGATCTCGGCTCACTGCAACCTCTGCCTCCCAGGTTCAAGCGATTGTCCCGCCTCAGCCTCCCGAGTAGCTGGGACTACAGGGGTGCACCACAATGCCTGGCTAATTTTTGTATTTTTTAGTAGAGACAAGGTTTCACCATGTTGGCCAGGCTAATCTTGAACTCCTGACCTCAGGTGATCCACCCGCCTCCACCTCCCAAAGTGCTGGGATTACAGGCGTGAGCCACTGTGCCCGGCCAAACGAACACTTCTAACGCATATTTGCAAAGCAACAGTGCACAACGCGATCATGGGGTTTATTAATGCTGTTCATTCTTAGTGCACTGTGGGTGCTGCGGGCTGTTATGGGTCGTAACAGTGTAAGGGTGGGGTCTTGCCGGACCGTGAAGACCAAATCACCTTCCTGGGACCATTGTGAAAGGCTCTGAGAGCAAGACCTCTGCAAAGGGAAAAGTAGGTCTGCTTACTCCGGGCCCCTCTCCAGGTCCCCGTCATGGCTTGGACTCTGGTGTGGGTGTCCGGTGATAACAGGCAGAACTGGAGGCCTCGCGAAGGGAGGTAGCGGTGGGAGATCCCAGACCCGGCAGGATCCTTGCTCAACTATCCCTCATTTCTGCCAGCAGGACAGTAGTGTGCAACGACCCCGACATGACCCTGCCCCCGGCGTCCATCCCCCCGGACACCTCCAGACTGCGCCTGGAGCGGACGGCCATACGCAGGGTTCCTGGCGAGGCCTTCAGGCCCCTGGGCCGCCTGGAGCAGCTGTGGCTGCCTTACAACGCCCTCAGCGAGCTCAACGCCCTCATGCTGCGGGGCCTGCGACGCCTGCGGGAGCTGCGGCTGCCCGGGAACCGCCTGGCCGCCTTCCCCTGGGCGGCGCTCAGGGACGCCCCCAAGCTGCGGCTGCTGGACCTGCAGGCCAACCGCCTCTCGGCTGTGCCCGCTGAGGCCGCGCGCTTCCTGGAGAACCTCACCTTCCTCGACCTCTCCAGCAACCAGCTGATGAGGCTCCCGCAGGAGCTCATCGTCTCCTGGGCTCACCTGGAGACCGGTATCTTTCCTCCCGGCCACCACCCCAGGCGGGTCCTAGGTAAGGGTCGGCAACCTTCACCTGGGGTCTTAGGCAAGTTACCACGCTTCCCTGAGTTTCGATTATTTGGAAAATTGAAATCATACCTTCCTTCCAGGTTTGAGCAAAGACAGTGAGATCCACAAGAGCGGCGGGTTTAGGAGCTCAATCCACAAGCCAGACTGTGGCAGTTCATATCGCAGTCATAAGAGAGGTCTTTCCAGGTCATACAACCAGGAGAAGGCCCCTGAGACTCAATTTCCCAACTCAGAGCTGAATGGGTTAGTACACTACACCAGCTGGACCTGCTATTTTTTCGGTTCCTTCCTGTTCTTAACAAACCAACAGCTTACCATGTGAACCAGATCTTTCCTGCCCAAGGCACCTGCCTGGTCCTGAGAATGACAGAAGGGGCATAATTCATTCTGGAAAATTGATTTGAATTATACAACTCATACATGAATAAATACAAATGTTTAAAATATTGCAGAAGAGGTTAAAGACCCTTCTGTCCTCTCTCCCTATTCCAACCCCTTCCCAAAAGTAGTTACTATTATCATATTTATATGCAAGCTCCCTATCTGTTCAGATACATTTCATATGCATATGTATATACATATACACACATACATACATGGATTCAGAAAAGTTATGTGTATGTTTTACATAAAATTTTGTCATACATACTAACCAACGCTAACTTTTTGACCCAACACTATATCTCGTAGATCTTTCTAAATTACTACAAATGGATCAAGTTTATTTTTAAAACTACTGCACAATATTCTATAGTATACTATATCTGCACTATGTTATAAACATATTTATACTATAGTTTATTTAGCCATTCCCCCTTTAATGGACTTTTACATTGTTTCCATTATTTGGTAACACCTATGATGCAACAGAGAACATTCTTGGCAATACATTCCTTTTTTTTTTTTTGAGACGGAGTCTTGCTCTGTCGCCCAGGATGGAGTCCAGTGGCACGACCTCGGCTCACTGCAAGCTCTGCCTCCCGGGTTCACACCATTCTCCTGCCTCAGCCTCCCGAGTAGCTGGGACTACAGGCGCCTGCCACCACGCCTGGCTAATTTTTTGTATATTTAGTAGAGACGGGGTTTCACCATGTTAGCCAGGATGGTCTCGATCTCCTGACCTCGTGATCCACCCACCTCGGCCTCCCAAAGTGCTGGGATTACAGGTGTGAGCCACCGCACCCGGCCGGCAATACGTTCTTGTGCACATCAATGTTTCTCTAGGATAGGAACTGAGAAGTGGAGTTATCAGGTCACAGAGTGTGCATATTAGACATTTAAAAACCCATCTGGGCCGGGTACGGGGGCTCACACCTGTAACCCCAGCACTTTGGGAGGCCGAGACGGGTGGATCACTTGCAGTCAGGAGTTTGAGACCAGTCTGGCCAATATGGTGAAACTCTGTCTCTACTAAAAATACAAAAATTAGCTGGATGTGGTGGTGGGCACCTGTAATCCCACTTACTTGGGCGGCTGAGGCAGGAGAATCACTTGAACCCAGAAGGCGGAGGTTGCAGTGAGCCAAGGTTGCTCCACTGCACTCCAGCCTGGGCAATGAGTGAGACTCCATATTTTTGAATGCCTTCCAATTCTAGGTGCTGGGAATACAGCAGAGAACAAAAGAGGTGAAAACGTATACACTCATGGAACTAACAATTAAAATGGCCAAAATGTTTAACTTTTGTCAGTCTGGCAAGTGAAAGTTTCACTGTTGTTTAACTTTGCCTTTTACATTCATTCTTTCTGGCCCTATTGTGATAAAACGAAAGCCAGGTAGCTCACCACTGGAGCCAGGCATTGATGAATCTTGGGTTGCAGATGTATCATTAAGTGCGTTTAACCAATGACACAAGGCAGCAACCACTGGTGAGATGGGGTGAGGGGGAGGTGGGAAAAGGAACTGGCACCCGTGGGTTGTGCTCAAAGAGACCTGAGAGACATGAATATACAATCAGATCTGAATGCACCCACCCCAACCCTGTGATGCACGTATTAAATATATCTGTGTGAATGTATAAGATATCATTGATTATTAGATATACTATTAAATTCAATAAGTCTTTGGGGACTAAAAGAACATCATATCAAGTGTATTTATCTTGCATTTCAGTAATGCAACCCTATAAGAAGGAATTGTGCCTTAGAATTGAGGACACATAGTACCCCTCATTTATATGCACATGGTACCCCTCCATCTCTATAATGTTCTTTGACAGAGTGGGTACAGTGATCTGCTTTCAGCTCTGTAAGAATGTTCAATTTTAGAGTAAAGACAGTAGGGGATATAGCCTAGGATTTGATTTTCTGGCCCTGTCACCCTGCTGTTTACGCCCATTTAAGCCTATGTCAAAGGGACCATGGCTCAGAGCAGCCACCTTCATTGCCGGGATGATGCTGAAAATACCATTTATACTGGGAGAACTGGCATCAAGGATCAGGGGTCAGTGATGCATTTCTGGAAATGGATTTTGTCATATTGCAATTATTGTGGAAATACTGCCTGGCCAGTGGCCTGAAAGGATCAGTCCAAGAATGGCAACAGTAATTGCCGGTTTTGTCAGTATGCTGTATATCTACCCGGTACTTAATATGATTTATTTCTGATTATGCTTAAAGCAACCCTGAAAAGAAAGTAATGCTACTATTTAACACAGAAAAATCAAATTTCAGGTCATACTACTAGCAAGGCAAGGAGCTGGGTCCAGAGGCCAGTTCTGCTGACTCTGAATGAGGACCTGCCTGTCCTTCCAGAGGGGAAGGGGTGCTGGGCCTGAGGACGTTGAGTATCTATCTGAATATCTTGTCTTCTTTTTTACTCCTGCAGGGCTACAGGACAACCCCTGGGCATGTGACTGCCGACTCTATGACCTGGTTCATCTTTTGGATGGCTGGGCCCCAAACTTGGCCTTCATTGAGACTGAACTGAGATGTGCCAGCCCACGTAGCCTGGCCGGAGTGGCCTTCAGCCAGCTTGAACTGAGGAAGTGCCAGGGCCCAGAGCTCCATCCAGGAGTGGCCAGCATCAGGTCCCTTTTGGGTGGCACAGCACTGCTACGCTGTGGAGCTACTGGAGTCCCTGGGCCCGAGATGAGCTGGAGGAGGGCCAATGGCAGGCCCCTTAATGGTACAGGTATGTGAGCTACAGGGATGCTGCACTGAGAACCTAGACTGGGGAGGGCAAAGCAGCTCCCCAAATGG